>NC_000001.11:56372016-56523531 GCF_000001405.40 Homo sapiens
AGTGCTGGGATTACAGGCATGAGCCACGGCGCCCGGCCAGCCTGCACGTTTTTAAATACACATAAATGATATCTTGTCTGTGCCTTTCTGCAACTTGGTCTTTTTTATTCAATAATGTTTTAGTGATTTATCATATTGCTAAATGTAGCTCTAATTTATTCTTTTAGTTGCTATTTTATGTTGCTTTATTTTTGCTATTTTATGTTCTATCTAAAAAAAGATCCATTTGTTTATCCATTCCTCTATTAATGTACTTTTAGATTATTTCCAATATTGCACTATTATATACAATGCTAACACTGAACATTATTGCACATCTCCTTTGGCACATATGCAAAAATTTCTCTAAGCTATTACCTCATAGAGGAAGCCCTGGTTGTGTATTCATATTGACTGCTACTATGTATTGCCAGTTGCTCCCCAAACTGTTTTACCAATTTATAGTCCCACCAGCATGGTATGATAGTTCTCATGTCTCCTTATCCTCCTCAACATTGGGTATCTCAGACTGTTATTTTTGCCTATCCGACAATGGGAAATAGTGTCTTACTGTTCTCATTTGAATTTCCCCAACAGCTCATAATGTCAAACATCTTTTTATATGATTATTGGCCATTCCAGTTGCCTGTTCATAATCTGTAGATTTTTCCATTGTTTGTCTTTTTCTTATTGACTTGTATGAATTATTTATATATCCTGGGTAATAATCTTTTAAAACTTGAATGTATTGTAAATATTGGGACAAGCTTTGTAAACTTCAAAGCAGCACCAAAAAAATGGTTTTTATTAGTGTTCATTTTACTCTTACATATGTCTTATCACCTAAACCAGAGCCTCCAGAGGACAGAGAATGTGGCTTCCTTATGTTTATTTATCCAGAATGAGTGTTAATAGGAAGCAGCCTGGAATTATGGGGGAAAATTAGGGCTTTAAAAATAGAAATGGAGTTAATACTGCCTCTGCCACTGAGTAGCTATGTAAGCTTGTTCAAACCACTTAATCTATTTCCTTTGTTCTAAAATGGGAAGAATATCTCACAAGGTTGTGAAGAATAGCATAAGATAATGCATGTAAAAGTGCTTGGTGTGGGGGCATAGCATATACTAGATTCTCAATAGATATTAGAATAGAAATATTGATAAATATTTGTTGGTGGTGAACTTAATTCTTCAATAACTGGATAATAATAGCTTTATTGACCATTTCTTATTTCTAGACACTATTCTACACAAACAGCTCCCTCTACTATATTTTTATCTTTTTTTTTTTCTGTTTTGAGATGGAGTTTTGCTCTTGTTGCCCAGGCTGGAGTGCAGTGGTGTGATCTTGGCTCACTGCAACCTCCGTCCCCTGGGTTCAAGAGATTCTCCTGCCTCAGCCTCCCGAGTAGCTGGGATTACAAGTGCCCACGAACACACCCGGCTAATTTGTATTTCTAGTAGAGATGGGATTTCACCATGTTGGTCAGGCTGGTCTCGAACTCTAGACCTCGGGTGATCCACCCGCCTCGGCCTCCCAAAGTGCTGGGATTACAGGCGTGAGCCACCGCGCCTGGCCATCTTTTTTTTCACAGATAAAGAATCTGAGACTAAGAAAGATTAAGTAATTTAGACAGTTATACAGCTTGTAAATGGTGGCTTTAATCTACAAAGACTGATTTATCTTAGTCTTGTCACAAAAATGTATTCATCCATCCAACAATATTTGTTGAATGTCTACTATGTTCCAGGTACTCCACTAGGCACTCGGCTGCATTGGTGAACAAGATGAACAGACTTCCTACCCTCAAAGAGCTTATATTTTAGTAAAGGACCAAAACAGCAACCAAATAGGCAAATAAATTGTGATATATTATGAACAAATGCACAACTAAGATAGAATATGGCAAAGAGCTTGGAGATTCTTTCAGGGAAGTGATCAAGAAAGCATTTGCCAAGGAATGACACTGAAGCCAAAATAAAACAGATGAGAAATAGCAAGCTGACCATTTGAAGAACATTTCAAGCAGAAGCAACAATATGCAAGTTCAGTTCCAGTCCATAATATGAACTAGACAGAAACTATTTCGATATTCCATATCTCCCACTTGCGAGTCCTGCTCACTCTTTTTAGCCATGGCAAGGAAGAAAATACTGTGAGCCCGAAGCAGCTGGTAAAACCATCATTCTACCCTGAGCCCGGATCACCCCCAGCTGGGCAGCGGCCATCTGGACATCCTCCAGCTGCAGCCACTCTTCTCCTACCAACTTCCCTTCCACGGCACTGTTCCATCTCCCAGGCCAAGCCTGTGAACTTGGCCAGATAGGTTTGGCTTTGTTTCTCAGGTAAAAACTTTTCACCCCAGCATTCCCCACACCGTCAATAATGGTGCACATTTGCAGATTGGTCTGTACGTGCATAAGCTGAGACCCTAGAGGATTGATTCAAGTCTGGGAGGGTGCCAGGTTTTCATTAAACCCCTTATAAACCAGCACTGCAGTTCTACAGGGCCACATCTGCCGAGGAAGCCATCTGTGATTCGTATCTTCGTGCTCCAACAAAACGCCAGCAGTGTGAAAAACTCTCCCCTCTGCTCTGCAGTGAACTGGAAAAGTAACATTAGTAATCACTTTTGCAGGCTCCATAATGACATAATGGGCATTGGCTTAAGTCTTAAACCACAGCCAATAGCCCCTGCCAACAATCTGGGTGGATCCAAGCTGTCCTAAAAATATAGGTCATCACTCATGCCCTTCTCGACCTAAGAGAATAAAGATAAAGAATTTGCACTTTGAGATACAGGGAGAAAAAGTAACTAATGTTTAATGAGTGTCTGCCAAGCATCAAGCACTTTGCAATGATGACAACCTTAAAAAGCATGCATGATTGTACTCATTTTACAGAGGAGGGGCCTAAGGTCAGAGATACTAGATGGCTTACCCAAAGCCACACAGATCAGTGGCATGGCAGAAGGTCGAACTCAAGCCTCACAATCCCCAAAGCCTGTGAGCTTTCCACCCCAGAAGGAGAACCTTGAGGATGGCATGCAAACTAAGTGTTTGGATTTTTCTACAAAAGTAATTCAAGACTGCATTAAAAATTAAGCACAGGACAGATAGAACATCTTTCACCTGTAGTAGCCTAGATCTGGGTAAAACCACTAAGTAATAGAACTGCACATGGGTTATTTAAATCCATAATACTCACTTTGAGTTAGATGAACAGAAAGGAGCTTGCCTTCTCTGCTTAATTCTTGCTTCCTCCTCCCCCAACCCCAGCCCATCCTGTCAAAAAAAAAAAAAAAGAAAGAAAGAAAAAGAAAAAGAAAAGATACTGCCTGCTCCTAATGTCTGAGCCCACATCCAAAAATAGAACCATCCAGCCGGTGTTCATTTCATTAAGAGTACCTTCCAATAGGGTGCTTGCTTGCATTTTCTGCTAAAGACCTTTGGAGGTCCCAAGCAGTCTTAAAGCGAAAAGTCCTTTTTCTTCTGAAGATGCAGGATCTCTCTGGGGCTATCCAGGACAAAAGGACGGACTCCTTAAACAAAGAGGAAACAACTGCTCCCCTCAGGAGACTGCAGACTCAGAAGCAGGGAGAAGAAGAAAAAAAAAAAAAAAGCCTGGGCTTTAGGACCAAGCAGGCTGCGGTTTGAATCTTGGCTTTCCTGCCAAATCATTGTATGAACTCAGACAAATATTTACCTTTCTGAGCATCCTTATGTGGAAGAATGAATCTAATGATACCTACCATACGGGGTTACTAGGAGGAACTGAGAAGACAATACATCAAGACACAGGCACATGGTGGGTTTCAATAGAAGTTAATTTGCTTTCCTTACCTTTTACATTTATCTTCTGTTTGGCTAAAGCTTCAAAGAAAGATTCAAAAAATGTTGAAAGGGTTGATAGTTTTCTTTTGGAAGGATAGTTTTTGATATTTCAGATTCTGTTGGATTGTCTAAAAGATTAACTCTCAGCAGCTTTTCCTCTTTCCTCATATAAACACCTAGAAATAATTTCCTGATCCATGTCCCATTGATGCCAAAGAGCAACAGGACAAAGAGAATCAAATCATGTTTAAATCACTTAGTGGAACCCCTCTTTCGTAGATTGCCAGGTTAGCCAAAGTTTTAGTTTAAAAAAAAAAAAGTTGGGGGAAGTTGGGAAAGAAAAAGCACTGACAATGAAGGAACCCTGCTGCTCTGGGAGAATTTTAGACTTGACAAAGATTTATACAATTTAATCATCATGTCCATATTCATATGGTAACCTTTGCTGAAAGAACCTGGTTGGAATTCTGGCTGTATCACTTGAGCAAATTGCTCAATGTCTCTGAACTTCAGTTTCCTCAGCTCTGAAGTGGAGACTAGAGATGATAATCACTACCTTGCAGGATGATTAGGGGATTACTAATTATATCCATACAGCTACTAGGCTCAGTGCCTAGTAGAGAGCAGGTGCTTAATAAATGGCTGTTTTATTACTCACAAAACACTCTTTTGATATCCACAACAACCCTGTAAGGTAAGAATCACTGATCCCATTTTTTTTAGATGAGGAAATGGAGATTCAGAAAAATAAAACATGACATTCAAGACCCCCCAGCCCTGGCTTGCACTGAGAGGACCTGCAGATTTATTTGACTGCAAAGCCTGTTTTCCTTCCAGCGTGCATACTGCTGCCACGTCTGTTCCTGCAGATGCAGAGAGGGGAAGATTTCAAGCACTTTTCGTCTCCATCTGAGTTGCTTCCTCTCCTCTGACTCGTTCCTGCCTTGGCAGTCCTGGCTGCCGTCTTCTCTATGCTGCCAACATCCCCTGACCTGACTCTTGCCGCCAACTGAAGCTTTCACCCAGCCAAAAAGGCATTTGGGAAACCACATCCCCTTCCCTCCCCACTGCGTGCCTTTGAAGTGAGTGTGTCATTTGACCAGTACCTACTCAGGCTACAAATTCCAGACTCCTTTCCTACCTGGAGCCCTGGGTCCCCCATGGTTCAGGGCAGACATTAGGCGAGTCTACCTTATTTTTCACAGTGCTTTATTTCAACCCAACCTGAATTTACTAGGTACCTACTCTGTGCCAGACACTAATCTTAGTTCTGGAAAGAGAGAAATGGGTAAAACACAGGCTCTGCTTTCAAAGAATCCATGGAATATGACAGAATCTAATTTGGTTCAGTTTAAATAATTGCTAAGCACCTACCACAGGCCAGACCCTGTGCTAAACACTAGAGAATACTAAGATAAATAAGATGTCAGTCCTCTGGGAAGAGCTTACCATTGAATGGAACAATATCCTGATTAGTGTACTAAGCAGGATATCTGGCAGGTTTTACTAGGTCGGTGCAAAAGTAATTGCAGTATTTTTCCATTGAAAGTAATGGCAAAAACTGCAATTACTTTTGCACCAACCTAATACAACCTGCCAGATATCCATAACCTACTATGGGTTTCACATTGTGCTTCATAGGCATTCTCTTTAGTCCTCAGAATAAAATAACTTTTGAGATAAATGTTTGAAAGGGCAGAAAAATTCCTCTGTCCAAAACTAATCATGATGATGAGGATTCTAGATTTTAGGTCTGCTTTTTGTCTCAAAAGCTGCTGGTTTCTTGGCAGGATGGTAGCAGATCTATTTTCCTATTATTACCTCACATTTGAATGGTGTACAAGGATTTTCCAAAGCATATCCCTCCATTATCTCATCTGAGCACCAACATATCTATCCTGAATAGTGTAGGGTTTTCTGGGAGGCCCAGAGAGGGCCACGAGTCAGGGAAAAGTGGACGAGCAGCAACAAACCCTGCAAGGGCATTTAACCCTTACAACACCCTGTAAAGGAGGTCACATATTTCCCTCTCCCCATTTTATACTTGAGGAAACTGATGCTCAGAGCAGCTCTCCCAAGTTCATAGTGCTAGTCAAAAGAAATCCTTTGTTTGAACTCAAGTCCTACAGCAGCAGTACCTCTGACAGCTGGGTCTGTCCTCGAGACAAACCAACACTCTCATCACTGAGCTGGGATTTCAAGCATGACTTTGTGGGACCTCAGTTCAAGCACGCTCCTTTGCCTGTATGACTTTCGGGGACTCACCCAGTTTCTCTGGGCCTCAGTTTTTCATTTGTCAAGAGGCCATGCTAACCTCTGCCATCTGCATCATAGGTTCTGTGAGGGGCTGGTGAGATGCAAAATAAAAGGGAGAAAGACTTTGGAGGAGTTATAAATGTGAGAGATCATTGTTAATAATAGGTCTTCCAACATGTTACTATGGAATCAGAGGTTCAGGAGACAAATGCAGACAGGCCAAGATCCCCTCTGGGAACCCTGCCCTGAAACCAGGACCTGCTCCTTAAAGGACTCCCAGCAAGGCCCACTCCCAGCACCAAACACCCTGCCCTGATGATTTGCCTGGCTCTGCCCCTTCAGCCAGGCTCAACTAGCAGACCCGGGAGGGGAGGGGCTTTCACAGAAACAGATGGATCTGGTCACAGGGTGACAGCGTCCATGCCAAGAGCCCACTTTGTTTTAATGAATGACACCAAACATTTAAGCCATAAACTCTTCAGATTGCTGTGTCTGGCAGTAATTACATGCCTCCTATTAATAAATCCTATTTCTGAATGGTTTACTGCATCCCTTTCTGCAAACACTGCAGGCTGAAACCTGTCAGATGGAGCCAGAGGCCGACTTGTGGAGAGAAGGCAAATAAAGTGGGATGGCTTTCTGGACCTAAAAGGGTGACAGCCACAGGAGGAAAAAAGCAACAGGATGTCCTCCAGCGCCCAGGTCCCCAGAAAGCAGGGGTGTGCCTACCACCCTCACATTCGACCAATCTGACTCATAGATTCTGACCCCATAATTTATCTTGATGCCATCTCTATTGTCACTGAATCCTGTAGATTCTGACCCCCTAATTTATCTTGAAGCCATCTCTATTGCCATTGACTTGGTTGGAAATCCATGAGCTTCACCTGGAATATAGTGACTGTCATCCCAACCATCCTCCACATGCTGCCAGGGAGATCTTCCCAACATAAACGAGTGACCATGTCACTCTCCTGTGTGAAAACTCCACAGCAGTCCTCAGCACTCCAGGGCAAAGTCCAAACACTTCTGCACTCAAGGTCCTTCAGGATTTGAATTCTGCTACCTGCCCCCATTCATTTTCCAGAAATTACCCTTTCTACTACACTTTGCCACAGTGGTTTTCAAAGTGTGGTGCTTGGACCATCAGCAGCAGCATCACTTGTGAACCTTAGAGAAATGTGCACTCTCAGGCCCCATCCAGAGCTACTGATTCAGAAACTCTGACATGGAGCCCAGTGATCTGTTTTTGTTGTGGAGGTTGTTATTGTTGTTGTTTTTTAACAAACCTTGCAGGTGATTTGATGTGTGCTAGAGTTTGAAAAATGCCTCTTGCCCAGTTTTTCTGAAACATTAACATGCATAGGAACTACCTGGGGATCTTATTACAATGTAGATTCTGACTTAGTTGGGCCAGAGGAGAACACCAGATTCTGTTGTTCAGCAAGTGTCCAGGCAAAGTCAATGCTGCTGGTCCACTTATCAAACCTTGAGTAACAAAGCTCTGAAGACAGTTAATTGCAAACTCCTTGCCATTTCTCAAGCACACTTACTACTCCTTGTTTCATGCCTTTGTGGATGCTGTTCCCCCCATCTTCTTTCTTTCCTCTCTTTCTCACCTCCCTTATCCATCAAATAATTCTATCATGTATCAGAAGTCAGCATAAAGAGCCTCTGTATGCTTCCTTAACCTCCTTCTGCTGCCACATGACTTTGCCCACACACCCCCAACCAGAACACTGATCCCACTACACTATTGGTCTGTCTGTGCTTCCTCACCCACAAGGAACAGGACCATCACTCTACCTCTTGTATCTCTGTAACCATAGCACCAACACAGTGCCTGGCATGGGAACAATGGACAGTGAGTGAATGAATGAATGAATGCATTAGTCTGTGGATGAATGAATGAATGAATCCTTAACAAACAGTTCTACAGGTGGGTAGACTAGCAAACGAAGTATTTGTGAGTGGAGCTGTGCCCTCACTAGCAACCTGATTTCTCCCAGGGGACTTTTGTTGACTGCTAGGTTGCTTTTAAAGCAGGTAACAGCAAACTCTTGTTTTCTAAACCAAACCAACTGCCTAATCCTAGAAGACACAAAACATAGAGGTGGTCTCCCTGAGCCAGGAACCCCAGAGAAAATTTCTAAGAGGAAATATTCAAACAGCAAGTATACACATATAGGTTTCTCAGATAGGAAGACTCTACATACTGAAATTTCACAAAGACAGCTCCTTTATTTATTACGGTATGTATTACCTCCACAAACATTCATCGAATGTTGACTATACAACAAACGCTGTTAAGAAGTAGGGATGTAAGGTAAGCTGGATATTGTTCTTGTCTCTAAGAGGTCAGTTCAGTGGGGGAAGTAGATATGAAAACAGATCAGGACCATGCAGAATGGCAAAGGCTGCAACTTGGGTGTGCACAGATCATGGGACAGATGCTTTTAATTTTGCTAGGAAAGATGGGAACAAGCACCAAAGAGAAGATAATATTTGAACTGAGTCTTGAAAGATGAGTTTGTTTCTCAGGAGGAAAATAGGGGAGAAGGATACTTCTGGCAAGGGAACAGTACACGCAAATGAGCAGCAGCCAGGAAGAGTGCTGGACCTGGCAGAAGCTGCAAGAATCGGACATAGTTAAGTGTATGTGGGTTGGGATGGGGGTTGACATTGGGAAGTTGAGCAGAACCAGATCGGTCATTTAGCAAACATTCACTGAGTATCTATTATGTGCTTGGCACTGAGGGAGGCCCTGGTGACACAGACAACAGTAAATAACATAGAAATGGTTTCTGCTTTCCTGAAGCTGAGCATTCACAGCGGGGTTGGGGTAGTAGGGGGGAAAAACACATAAATAAAACATTTGCCCATTTTGATGTGTAAGGAGCTGAGCCAGAAAAATAGTGAGAGCTTTAACTTTAGATAAAGTGTCCAGGGAAATGCTTTCAGAGGCAAACTTAGAAGAAGGAGAAAGGAATGGGAGAGAGAAGAGTATCCACAGCAGAGAGAAAAGATTGGGTAAGCCTCTGAGATGGGTGAAAATGTGGCAAACTCAGAAAACCGAAAGTGGATGAAATTAATGAGTGAAAGGAAAATGATGCAATTTGACAAGAGATCAGAAGGGGAGACAGGTGAAGCCACTTGGGCTTGCAAGCCATGGTGGGTGTCTGCATCAATGCTAAGTGCTATGGGAGCCTTTGGAGGCCTCATCAGCAGGGCAGTAACGTGACCTAATTTGTTTGAGGAATTTTCAGCTCCCTTTTATTTATTTTTTTCTAAAAGGTAACTCTATTAATAGTTCCTTTACAGAAAATGAATTGGAAGGAGACTGAAGGCAGGTCCTCACTTAAAAAGGAGGCTATATAATGGTTCTGCCAAGAAAAAAAGCCAGGGCTAGAACTAATATGGTGGCACTAAGGATGAAAATTCACTGGACTCTCTCCCTTAGGAAAATTCTGCACTGGAAGCTCCCCAAAAGGGACTTCCTAAACTTAAAGTAAATAGACAGCAATTTCTCTTCCAAGAGGTATCCAGTGAAAAAAGCACCTTTTCTTTTTGCAACATGCATACCAGCAGCCCGAATTCTGGGTTGGGGCACCCACAGATCCATCCTTCATCTGGCTCAAAGCATGAGGACGCTCCACAGTTGCCATATTCCTGGCCAACATATGCACTGCTTCTGGCAGGCACTGAAATAGGCAAAGGTAGCTCATATATTTTCCACCTTGCCACTGTTGGGCTGCCATAGAGAATGACCTGGGCTAAGTTTCCTGGAAACTGCCCAGCCAGGTGTTCCATCAAGCTGAACTGCTGAGCAATTAGAATCTGTGGAATATTGGGGTAGGGGCTGGTTCCACAAAGAAGATGGCGGGTTTCACACAGCAGGCATGCATCTGCTTCGGTTTCCTAAATCCTCTGGAACACCTGTGCTACGAAAAGCACATCTTGACATTTAGTAGCATTTTAGGAAGGGGATTTTTTTTTAACCGAGGCTTTTAGACCTTTAGACAAATTCTAATCTTAGATCTAAAATATCTCCAACGATAATTTAATTCAACCCGATTTTTGACAGATGGGCAAACTAAAATCCAGAGAAGAAGAAAGAGGGAGGGATCTGTTTAAAGTTAGAAGGCCATTTTTTTTTATTTTTTATTTTTATTTTTGGCAAAACTGTAGCTGCAATGCTGGTCTCCTAATTCTTTTTAATTTTTTGGAGATGGAGTCTCACTCTGTCACCCAGGCTGGAGTGCAGTGGCAAGATCTCCGCTCACTGCAACTTCTGCCTCCCAGGTTAAAGCAATTCTCCTGCCTCAGCCTCCAGAGTAGGTGGGACTACAGGTGTGCGCCACCACACCTGGCTAATTTTTGTATTTTTAGTAGAGATGGGGTTTTACCATGTTGGCCAGGCTGATCTCGAACTCCTGATCTCAAGTGATCCACCCGCCTCAGCCTCCCAAAGTGCTGGGATTACAGGCATGAGCCACCACGCCCAGCCAGGTCTCCTAATTCTTGATTCTGGGCCCTTTCTCTATGACTCCACACATGCTTCAAATTCAGTGAATAACCTATTGAATATTTACTACATACTGGGCTCTAAATCACCACACCATTATAGAAGTGAAGTTTTAAAAGATTAAAACATACATACCTGCAGCATTTTTAAATGGAGGGCTTGGCTTGTTCAGAATCTTGAATATAATCATGGCCTCTGCAATATTCTGAACTCCTAAGAGCAGGGGAACTGCTTATTTATCTCGACATACCTAGTCGAGGAAATGGGCAGAGAGTAGACTACCAGTTAATGAAGGAATGCATCTTATGCTTGTTTGAGGATTGTTCAAACAATCCTGATATTGAGTGCAGATAGTTCCAAGCAGCTCTGCTTTCATGGTGGGACTCAACGGAGACTCTGCCGGTAGTGGGTGGGTGGCGATGATTGTTTTTCCCTGGCTGGTCAATTGCCTTTTCAGGTGGTCTTTATTAAGCCATCAATCTTTTAACCCTGACAGTCACTGTGACCCAGTGCAGCTCAGGAAAGGAATCTTTCTTAATTACTAGCCCTTTCTTGCTCCCTGGAGATCCTTGAGTACTGCACCAGCTGGAACTGATGGATGTAGTCTGGTTCTACCAGCAACTGAAGTATCTTATTTGCTCAAACCTGAGGGCTTAGCTTGCAATCCTGGCGCATTGAGAGGTGAGACTGGCAAGCCACCTACGTTTTATGTCTCCAGGAAAAGACCTCTTTGCTCCAGCATTTGGAGTGTTGCTGAGGGGTTAATAACACAGACTTCAGAGTCAGACCCATAGAGCTTGGATTTCCATCTCTGCTACTCACTGTGAAGCAAATGGCTTGACTCCCCTTGCTTTGATTTTTCTCATGGGTCGTAGGTTTCCCTCACCTGTGCCATGTTGAAATGCTACCAGCTTAGTCCTCGGGCCACTTCTCTGTTCTGTCTGTACTCATTTCCTTGGCGATCTTACCCATGGCCTTAAATATTATTTATATGACAAACACTAGTTATATGCAAAAGGCTTCCAAATGTTTAGCCCAGACCTCTCCCCAAAACCCTAAGCTCTGATATTTAAGTACATACCTAACATCTCAACTGGACCATTAACAGACATCTCAAATTTAACATGCCCCAACCAAACTCTTGATTCCTGCTCCACCCTGTGTTCCCCATCTTAGAAAATGGCAACTCCTATGCCACCAGTTACTCAGGTCTAAAACCATCATACTGTATTTACACCCCCACCTTCCAGTCCGTCAGCAAAGCCTGCCAGCTCTACCTTCCCCAACCTGACCTCTTCGTGCCACCCACCCCATTAGCACCGAGATCCACATTCCCATTATCCCTTGCTTAGATTACTACAACAGTCACCTCGCTGGTCTCCCTGCTTCCACACCCTCACCCTTAAAGACTTTTCTCATGCAGCAGCCATAGTGACACTTTGCAAAGTCAGATCATGTGTCACTTCTCTACTTCTTATTTCCCTCAGTAAAAGCTAAAGAACTCACAATGCCCTGCAGGGCCCTACTAAATATTTTCTCCCACAGCCAGTACTTCTTCTCTCACCTCTTCTCCCACTGCACTCCCTGTCACTCACTCCATCCCAACCACAATGCCCTCCTTGTGCCTCCAACCAGTGCGTTCCCACCTCCGAGCCCTTGCAGATGCAGGGCCTACTGCCCAGAGCGTGCCTCCGTGGGTTATCAGCATGGCTCACTCTCTCACTAATTTCAGGTCTCTGCTCGGATTTACACTACTGGAGGCCTCCTCTGATCTGCCTTTCACAGAAACAGATGGATCTGTATAATAGCAGCCTCCCCCGTTCTGCTCCGCTATCTTCCATGTCCTGCTCTCTCCTCCCTCATAATCTTACCACCCCTTGAAATAGTCATTCACTTACTTGTCACCTGTCTCCTTCAACCTGAATGTAAGCTCCATGAGAACAGGGGCTTTGCTCTGTTCACCAACATCTGTGCCTCCAACATTCTGAAATAGTGCCTCGCACGCAGGAGGTGCTTTATAAATATTTGTTGAATGAATAAATGAATCCATAAAATGGAGGGTAATAATTTATCTAGTAGGATGGCAGACAGATTAGATGGGATGGCCTGTGTAAATCATCTTGCATACTTTGTAGGCTATCCTTCTCCCAGAGGAGCTTCCAACACAACTGCAGGTCATGATCAGTGCTAGGGTGAAATCACCATTGCAACCCCTTATGTAATAAGAGCTGCCATATATGAGGTGCCTTCTTTGAGCCAGTTCCTGGACTAAGCTTTTACCTTCTCTCTACCATTTATTCCCATGGCAAATCTACAAAATAGGCATTATTATTTCTACTTTTACAGATACAGTAACTGAAGTTTGGAAAGATTGGAGAATCTAGAGTGGTTAAATGTATACAAACGAGTTTATCATATAATAAGCACATAAGTGTTCCATCCAAAATTCTGCCTCTGACAAGGAATTTAGGAGCTGGTGGCCTGCTGAGCCTCATTAGAACCCATCTATCCCTATAGACCAAATTTTTAAAAGGCTAAGAAGAAATGAAGGAGACATAAGAACAGAATGAGGCTCCCCTTTCATAAATTGAGCCTATGAAGAGAGCTGCCCTTGAAACTTTAATTTTTCAATAATGGAAGTCAATAATAGAAGTGTTGAGATCAGTCCGACATGAACTTTTTTTTATCACTTTTTTGGAGAATATCTACTAGATTACACAGATCTTCTTCAAAGAAGTCACGATGACTATGAGCACACACATGAGATTTATCTTGTGTTTGTCCTTCCAGATCTAGCCAAGTTGCCCTCTGCCAGTCAGAAGCACATGATAACAAATAGAGTCAGGTTTGAAAAAAGACACAGAAATAACTGTGGCCAACTGTGTGGCTTGGTTCAGATTCCATAAGGACTCCCATAGGACCTTGAAGATGTGACCCAAGGTCTCAAGTCTCTTAAGCAATTCTGAATAAGGAAGTGCAAACAACTACAAGATCAAAGGCATTTGAGCTGTGAGAGAGAGTGACAGGGAAATGGAAGGAAGGAAGAGCAAGAAATTCATGGTTAAGAGAAGAAAGCTCAAAAGAGACACTATTATATAGAGGTGTATGTGTGTTATATTTTCTATACAAAGAGGGAGAGAGTATACAATGAAATGTTAAAGGATTGTCTGAATGGTGGAAATATGGCTGATTTTTATTTCTTTGTCCTTATTTTTATTTTTTTCTGCAATGAACATACTTTATTTGTGTAATAAAAAGGAAAAAGAAGATATTAACCAGAGGATGGCAAGACTCACCACTTTCTGGACAGCACTGAAACAGGTTCCAAGTATTCTACCAATGACTCCTGCCTCCCCTCTGTTTGTTTAGGCTGGGGGTGGCCTTTCTTCCAGTTTTCTAGGCTCAAAAATCTCCTGGTCTGCAAGTTTACCCCCTCTTTGCCCCGTTATGTACTTCATTTATCCTAACATGCAAATGTTTGTTTTGAAAAAATTACACTCACCAAAAAGTTTTTTAAATCATGAAAGAGGGACCTCATGTGAGAGAAAATGATCAATCCCAATAATAAGTAAAAAGATGCAAATTAAAATTCACACAGTCTACCATATTTCCCTAATAAATTTAACAAAAAAATAAAAATAAAAACACACAATGCTGGCAAGGATGTAATTAAATTCATAGCCTCCTGCGTTGTTCAGGATACTATAAATGTGTTCAACCCTGTGGGAAAAGCAAATTGGCAATATGAATGAAGAGCCATGAAATTGGCCACTCTATTTCATTCAGTAATTCAACCTCAGGAAATGCATCTTTAAAACATAATAAGAGTTGCTGTCAAAGATTTCTGTCCCAAGATGTTCATATTAGCAGAAAAAAATAGTTCTAATATACCCACTTAATGAAATATTAAACCACCATTTAAAACTATAGTCATGAAGACAAGAAGCAATATGCTCCTGATATATATAAATGCACACCATGATTGTAATTACATATAAGTAGAGAGTAAAATAATCTAAAACACTCTCAAAGAAAACGCACCAACATAAATTGAATATAAGAGAACCGTAGAGATGGAAATCTTTTTTGAATTTTCTATAATGAGAGCATGTTTCTTTAAGGACTTTTTAAATCCATTTTAAAAGTAAATTGAGGTAGATGCATGCATTCTTTGCACGCACCTTCACCTGGCTGTGCCTCAGTTTCCTTACTTCCAGATACACATAAGAGCAGCTTCCACCTCAGGTGTGATGTGAGTACTGGACAAGTTAATTCATCTGATGTGTTAAATGAGCTCAGGCTTTAAAGCATTTAGAACAATGCCTGGCACATAGGAAATACTCAGTAAATGTTGATGGTTGTTGTTTCATGCCCTGTCCCTACCTTTCCCCTTCATTCTTCTACTATATCACAAGAATTTCTCTTCTCATGTATGTCCTTTAAGTACCCCCAACCTGGTCTGCCTCCAGACTCTGATTTATTACCTATCTTGACCACAATTTTCTAAAACAAATGAACAAACGAAAGTAAACACAAAAATTATTTCTTTATGTCTCACAAACCACCAACCTTTCCCAGTTTGGGGACACTATTCATACTCCTTTATGCTTCATGACTGGTGCTAAGCTTCCTTATAGACTTTGCATCACAAAGCCCCTTTTATGGTTGAAGAGCAAGTACTAATTTATCTTGAACACCTAAAATCATCTGGGAATGGGCCAACTATGCTGTTGACATGCATAGTGACATTTAATCCTTGCAACCACCTTGCAGTAGCTAAGTATTATGCTTATTTTAAAGAAGAGGAAACAAGCTGAGATAAATAATTTGCCCAAAGTCATATAGCTAGTAAATTACCAAATGGAGATTTGGATCCTATCCACCCCACACAAACCACCCCTGGGCCTGTCTCCTTCCCACTTCCTGCTCACTGGCTTGCCTCATGAATACACCTTCCAGCTTAGGACTTCAAACTCATCATTCAACAAACATACCATGCTTCATGCAAGGCCCACTTAGGTTATTGCCTCCTTCTGGAATGGCCTAAGCAAACACACACACACACATACACACATCTTTCCCCTCTACACACATGAGCATGCATGCACACACACACATACACACACACATATTTAATTATTAACCTCTCTTCTGAACACTGTTCCTCCTTCTAAGACAATTTATTTATTTTAAAATTAGCTTTATGACATAATTTAACGCAATAAAATTCACCAATTTTATGTACAATTCAATGAGTTTTGACAAATATGTACAATAATGTAACCACCAACACAAACAAGATATAGCACACTTTCCTCTCCCCCAAAAGTAACATCGATACTCTCTTACAGTGAATTCCCTACCATAGCCAGTCCCAGGCAACCATTCACCAATTTCAGCTGCTATGGTTTTGCCTTTTCCAGAAGTTCATCATTATTAGAATAATTTTGTGTCTGGTTGCCTTCCCTTAGCATCAGGTTTTTGTGATTCATCAATGCTGTTACAAGTATCAGCAGTTCCTTCCTTTTTATCACATTAAAATTGTTATCCAATTGTTCCAGCACCATTTAATTAAAAGGCCATCTTTCCCATTGTATGGATGCACTGAAATGTATTTAACCAATCACCAGGTGATGAGCATTTGGATTGTTTCCACTTTTGAGCTATTGTGAGTAAAACTGCCATGAGCACTCATATACAGATATTATTTTATTTTTCTATGCTTTCATTTTTCTCTTGAGTAAAAGCTCAGGACTGGGATTGCTAGGTCCTATGGTAAGTGTATGTTTAATTCTCAAAGAAACTGACAAATAGGTTCCAAAGTGCTGTACCATTCTCCATTAGCACTAGCAATGCATGGAAATTCCAGGTTCCACTTCTCTGCCAACCCTTGGTATTATTTGTCTTTTTATTTTTAACCACGCTAGGGTGCAATGGTATCTCATTGTGTTTTATTTTATTTTTTATTTGTATAAATTTATGGGGTACAAGTGTAATTTTGTTACATGCATAGATCATGTAGTGGTCAAGTCAGGGCCTTTAGGCTATTCATCACTCCAGTAACATAGATTGTACATTTCTTTGTCTGTTCTCACGCTGCTAATAAAAACATACCCAAGACTGGGTAATTTATAAAGGAAAGAGGTTTAATTGACTCACAGTTCCACATGGCTGGGGAGGCCTCACAATCACGGCGGAAGGCAAAGGAGGAGCAAAGTCACATCTTACATGGTGGCAGGCAAGAGGGCATATGCAGGGGAACTCCCCTTATAAAACCATCAGATCTTGTGAGACTTATTCACTACCATGAGAACAGCATGGGGAAAACCAACCCCATGATTCAATTACCTCCCACCAGGTCCCTCCCATGACATGTGGGGATTATTACAATTCAAGGTAAGATTTGAGGGCGGACACAGAGCCAAACCATATCAGTACCCATTAAGTAATTTCTCATTATCCACCCTCCTCCCACCTTCAGACCTTTCCCAGTCTCCAATGTCCATCATTCCACACTCTATGTCCATGTGTCTATATTATTTATCTCCTACTTACAAATGAGAACATGTGGTATTTGTCTTTCTGTGTCTGATTTGTTTCACTTAAGATAATGGCCTCCAGTTCCATCTGTGTTGTTGCAAAAGACATAATTTTATTCATTTTTATGGTTGAATAGTGTTCTACTGTGTATATATACCACATTTTCTTTATCCAATCATGCATTGGTGGATACTTAGGTTGATTCCATATATTTGCTATTGTGAACAGTGCTGCCATAAACATATGAGTACAGGAATCTCTAAGACAATTTAAACCCTTCCTCTTGCATGACCTCTTTCATCAAATTCCCACTATTTTAATAGATGGTTTACCTGCACACTTGCATCACACTTTTGGGGTTTTATTTGTGCACAACAGTACAATACAATAGGATGGTCACAAGGTTGACACTCAGTATTCAAGTCTCCATTCCACTATTTGCTGAAAGAATTTAAGAAAGTCCTTTCTGAGTCTCAAGTTCTTCACCTTAACAAAAAAGTAAATAATAATACTTAATGCCAGGGCAATCATGAGAGTTAATATGCAGATATGTGAGAACATATTTTTCATACTAGAAGGCTGAGAAAAGATTAGTTATTGTTATTAATATCAGTTACTATGAATTATCCAAACATTAAATTATTACTAACTTCCAGGCATTGAGCCCTTGAACTAAAAATTTCTGTTTGAATATGTATTCAAATATTTTTGAATGAGTCAATGCAGGTACTGAGATTCCTGAGTGGCTTGAAAGGCCAGCCAAGAGGTGACAGGCATGGTTCCACATTCAGGAAACTTGCAATCCCGCAGCTAAAACTCAGAGGTGCCCTAAGGAGAGTCAAACTCCCAGGAGAAAACAGGGAGGGTGGAGGGGAAGCATTTTATGGGAGTGAGAGTGGGCCCACAACCTCACTAAACCTGTTGTCCCAGATATGTGACTTCTTCCCTTGGGGCCCCAGTCTCTTCCTGTATAACCTGGTATTAATGACCAGGAAGTCCTCTAAGTACTCCCATTACCACCCCAAGCCTAGCAAAGTCTCCGGCACACAGTAGGTATCCAATAAATATTTGTTGAATAAATGAACTCTGATATTCTAGGATGCAATTTAAGATTAGATCCAGATATGTGGAGAGGAGAGAAAGAAAAGTTCTTCTGGAGAGGAAAAGGCCCACCAGCTTTAGGCTTTCAGGAAATGATTCTTGGTACAGGGGTAAGGGATAATCCTTTTCCCCTTTCCCACCGGATCCAGCCCAGGTTTTCTCTGAGACCCTGACTTTCTTAGGCAGGGAATGTTTAATTATTTGTCTGTGAGTCCGTACCCCAGCTGGATAGAGTTAATAAACCAGCCAGGTCTTTATCTTAACAAGAAGTCTTAGAATCAAATTCTCCCCTCATTAAAGGCCCAGAAATCTCCCTGACAGCAGTGGGAGTTTTGCAGGCAGCCTGAAAGTGGAATTTAGTCTCCTAGTGAATTCCTCCATGGGCACAAGCCTAGAGAAGTGGGAAGAATTATATCATTGGAAGGGAAGGAAGGAAAGAAGGGAGGGAGGGAGGAAGGAAGGAAGGGAGGGAGGGAGGGAGGGGAAAAAAGGAGGCAGGAAGAAAAGAAAAGAGGACAAGCCCACCCCCTTTTCCTTAAAACCCTAGCCTAGCACAGTGCCAGGTACCCTGGAAATGTCAGAAAATATGCCTGGATGTTGTGTAAACACGTCTCCTTAGAGCTTGAGGAAGACACTACACCCTGGAGTGTGAGTTGAATGGAGCTGACTGAGTGGCCAATTGTTTTGTTCTTTTATTTTTTTTAATTTACAAATAATAATTGCAAATATGTATGGCATACAGTGTGAAGTTTGATACATTTTTACATTGTAGAATGATCAAATCAGGCTAGTTAACGTATCCATCACCTCACATACTTACCCTTTCTTTGTGGTGAGAACATTTAAAATCTACTCCTTTTTAGCATGCCGCGTTATTCACAAAAGCCAAGATACGGAAACAACCTAAGTGGCCATCAATAAATAAATGGATGAAGAAAGTGTGGTATATGTACACAATGGTAAACTATTCAGCCTTAAAACAAAACAAAACAAAACAAAACAAAAAGAAGGAAATCCTGTCGTTTTCGAAAACGCAGATGAACCTGGAAGTCATCGTGCTAAGTGTACTATTCTTTACCTTAGTTACAGCTCCTGGGGCTTGCAGGGACCCAGTGAGATATCTCTGGGGTCAGGAGACTGCTGAGGCTGATTGGGTCCCAGGCACAGGCCAAACCAAAGCGACCAGAATTCAGGGTTGAGAGGAAACCCCAGTGGTGGCAAACAAAATAAAGATGATTTTCAGGGTCAAAGGGCAGGGCAAGTCCAGAAATTGAAACGGAAGCAATGGATTTGAAAGCAGCGTGAAACAAAAGTAGTATGGAAAATAGCACCGAATGGGTCATACCAAGTAGCTCAGATCCAACCCATGAAACGGAAGCAAACAGTGAGTTTCCCCTTTAAAGCAGTGCTGGGGACAGGACTAGGCTTAGGGAGACCGCAGGGGAGATGCTTAGCGTGTTTCCGAAATGTACCTTTAATTATTAAGTGAGACCCGTGCACCAGCCTATGAGCCAGGGCTCAAAAAAGATTACTTCACTATAAGCGCTAGGGAAAAGGGCAAAGCAAACCAGTAGTATTTTTCATCTTATATAACGCAGTCCCTAGTCAGCCTTAACTACAAGAGAAATACGGTTTAGGTGTTCCCTTCTGTCATTCATGCTTGCTGGAAAAGGAATCTTTGGTGTTTCTGAAAAATTGGACACAGCTAAGGAAGCTGTGCACTGGCCAGAAGACACATTGTGCCAGGGAATGCTGAAAAGGTGGGACTGTGACCATCAGCAGACGGTTTGGGGCCTGGGGGTGTCTTGGGTCTGGGTGAGCTCTCTTAGCCCCTTCCTCTGGCTCTTTCACTTCTAAGACAATGTTGCGGGGAGATGGCTGTGGCTACATCCTTGTCTGTGCTCCTCTCTCAAGCCTTGCATCTTCATTATCTGACGGCCGCAGGGAAGGTGTTCTGGCTAAACCAGAAGTTTTTGGTCCAGCTCTTGCTCTTGCTCCCTTGCCTGCCAGGCTATAGGGAAATTGGGAAAATAAAGCAGCCACAGTCATGCTTGTATCTGGGTGTTCCACGAGTCCTTGGGGAAATGGTACCGTGAGAATACAACGTAGACTTAGAAAAGCACTTCTCAGTTTGCAAAGTTCTTCTATCTATCTATCTTAGTGAGAAGGAAGCTCTCTACACTTAGCAAGTGAGCCAACTAAAGCCCTCCAACATGCCCCTCCAGGCTCATTAGAGACTACACTCCCCTAGCACACACTAGGGACCAGCTATAGTAACTTTCCCCTGTTCCTTGAGCACTCCAAACTCATGCCTCCTCAAGGCCTTGGCAGCTCCTGTTCCCCACTCCTGGAAAGTGCTTCCCTCGGCTATTCACATGCTAGCTCCTTCTTTTCCCTCAAGTCTCAGCTCAAATGTCATCTTCTCAGAAAGCCTTCCGTGTTCACTCTCAATCAAGTAACCCCACTTCCTTCAGAATAAAAAGCACTAAAATTCAAAGCCAGACCATTCTTCTTGTGAAGGAATGGGAGGGCCATTGGGAAAGAACCCAATGGTGAGATCCAATGGGAAAACTTTTTAGTCGTTTTTAACCTTATAAAGTAAGAGTGAATTTCCCAGTTACACGGTCACAAAAATTTGAAAACTGATCATCTATAATTGCCTAAATTAGCACTGGGCGCCACCTTGATGGATAAGTGAGTCCCACTTCTGAATGGCATGAGGGCAGTAGTGTGTGCATCCCCTGGATGCTCCTACCTAATGGCATAGGGTGCTGACAGAGAGGCGGCAGATAGCATGAAGCTAGTGGAGGAGGCTTGTGAGGAATGTTCTGATTAATTCTTGCAAGAACACTTTGTCTGAGACCAAGAATTCTGTGATGAGTTAGGTGGGAGAACTTTTAGGCTGTTGCCTGAAGAACGTGGTTTTAGTATTCTAAGGGTGGTGGTTGTAATCCGGAATCCTCTCCCACATAGCCAGGGTGGAGAGCAAGCAAAGGGAGACTCTTTGTCTCAGCATTTATCCTACATACTTGCATTTATCACAAAACATCCACGTTCAGTGGTGAACTCCTACCTCCTGGCCACCCATACAGGTCCTCCATGCCGTGCCTTTTACATGTGTGCACAAAAGAGAGAGCCCATCAGGTCCCTAGAAAGAGCTAACAGCTGAAGAGAGGAACATGCACTGGATTGAGAGTCAGAGGACTGGGCTTGGATTCTAAATCCACACCTTCCTCGCTGAGTTATTTAAGCAAACCATGTTAGCCCTCTGAGCATCACTTTCCTCACCTATAGAACAAGGGCTTGAATCTAACCTTAATCTGCAATTCTAGATTGCTCAAAGAACAAATGAGATAATATACTCAAAAGTCCAAGGTAATCTGTAAAGAACTACACCAATATGGGATTCAAAAAACAATTCTACTTAATAAAAAAAAAGAGTGCCAAAGAGTTTCTGAAGATACACAAATAATCTCTTTCCTTTAAGAGCCCCTGGCGATTTGGTAGCACTGTATGATAATCAGTAGCAGCATCAATTTTACAAAAAGACTCACACTGGGATACCTGTGAATAAGAGACCTCCTCGAAGTTTTGAGAATGATTTGGTTTGGAAATATTCAGAAGCTCTATTCACCCTATATCCCTAGATGCATCAATTGAGCATGGTTCTATCGTTATAAGTGTATTCTTTGTTTGTCCTTTTATTTGATAGTTGGCCTTCTGCCTTCCTTCCACCTCCCCAACCATCTGGGAGCTGTATTTGTTAGAAAGTTATGACTCTTCAATCAGTAACTACCACTTATTGACTTTCTAGAAGGTGCTGAGCAAAGTACTAGCAGTTTTCATTCGTTATAGCTTATCCTTGCAATGACCTAGAAGGTGAGTACTACATGTATCTCCATTTTACATAAAAGGACACTTGTCTCAGAGAAGTTAAGTGACTTTGCCAGGGTCACACAGTGCTGAAGTGACACAGCAGGCTATTTTGGCTCCTAAGCCCTCATTTTATCCACTGCCTGGGAAAGACAGCAGGGTTTCCTACCAACACAGTGTCTTCTGCTTCCTCTACCATAGACTTGTTCATGAAGTGCTATCATACTCTCCCACCCATCCCCGGCTCCTCTTTGCCAGTGGCTCCAGGCCCAGACCCATGCAGCCTTCCACGCAGCCCGTTCTGACTTCCTCTGAAGTCAGCCATCCAAGTAAAGTTCACTTGAAGCAGAACCGCAGGAGTTTCCACTCCGCAGAGGACTCCAGTCTTGCCAAGTTCTCCACCAGCCAGGCTCCTGGAGGTGGGCCTCGTGCATTCCCATTGCATAAGTGTTATTCCAGCTAGTTCCTGGAATTGGAAACATGGCAAACCATTCACCTGGTGGGGAAACTCTTGCCTGGGAGGGATAGTTGTTTGGTTAGCTGTGCCTTCAGAGCCCTTTCTAGGAGACCAGTTTGTAAAAAGATTTGTTTAGCAAAGCCCAATTCTTAAGTCAAAGTTGTATTATTTTCCCTATTGTTCAGTAACCCAACACGTACTTTCCCACCCAGTGAGCTCTCAAATCCACATTAGCATCTTCGGTCCTAGTTCAGGCCCTCCCCACCTCTGACTGAAATCACACCATGGCCCGCTTGCTGGTCTCTGAGACGAGACTTCCTGCTTCCTGTACCGTGCAGCTCTGGGCCAGCCTCCACATGGCGGCCAGAAAGATCTTTCCAAAGGCTAATCCTATTACATGAGGCTCTAGCATAAAATCCTTCAACCACTCTCCAGCACCTGAAAAAGAAATATGTCCCTACTGTTTGAATTATTTGCAATGAGAATGTATTATTGTTATAATTTGAAAGAAAATGTTTTAAAATGCTTATTGAGCTATGCTCCCCCATTCCTAGACTACAATTTTCTTGAAATGGGAAAAGCATCTTTTTTGTCTCTATATCTGTAGAACACAGTTCAGTGCCCTACATATAATAGATAAGTACTCAAGATATGTTTATTAACATTCAATAAACTGATACCAGTTAATCAGAGCTCATGATGAGTAATGAGATATTCAGTGTAACTAGACTGGATTGATATAATTCTAGCCAAAACAGTTTAGGCAGTGTGTGCAACACTATCTGAGATAAAGGTATATTTCCTTTATAATTTTTGATATTGAAAATGGTTCTGCCAGATGCAGTGGCTCATGCCTGTAATCCCAGAAATTTGGGAGGACAAGGTGGGAGGACTGCTTGAGCCCAGGAGTTTGAGAATGGCCTGGACAACATGGCGAGAACCCATCTCTAAAAAAAAATACAAAAAAATTATCCTGGTGTGGTGGTGCGTGCCTGTAGTCCCAGCTACTGAGTAGGCTGAGGCTGGAGGATCCCTTAAGCCCAGAAATTTTAAGGTTACAGTGAGGTATGATCATGCCATTGTACTCCATCCAGCCTGAGTGAGAGAGTAACACCTTGTTTCAAAAAAAATTAATTGTTTTAAAAAAAGAAAGAAAATGGTTCTTAGACCTTCTCTGTCAATTCATATTAGACTAGAACTCTAGATTAGAGTTCATTAATTTCTCCAAGTCACTCTTTTACTGATGAAGGAGTTAGTGCTCTTCACATTGCCTAGGGGCTCTCATTTTTATGAGCTCCCAGAGCAGAATCAGGTAACGAATGGAAATTGCTAGGAGAACAATTTCAGCCACATGCTCTATACGCTCATCTATTTAGATCTTCAATTATAGTCTTTCCAGCAGCTTATATCTCAGGGGGTCAAATCTACATTCTGCCCTACTAGCTCTGTGACATGTAGCAAATTACTTCTCAAGACTTCATGTTTTCATCTGTTCATGGGTTAGTTGCTAAAAATAAATGAAATGATATATATAAAATGTTCCCTATATTGGCTGATGCATTCTAGGAACATAGAAAACCCTTGAAATTATCAAAATTACTTATGCACGAGTCTATTTCTGTATTGCAAGATTGGGCACCTGAATTGGAGGAACAGCGTTTCTCTCATCCTATCTTCCTCTTCGCCTTCCTAGGTGATGATCCTGAATTGATTGGGTATTCAGCTAATTATTTTGGAGAGGAATTGACATAAGGTTTGGATGTATTGCACCACTGACCTTTAGCAACAACGAGGCCAAGGCTACAGGAATAGCAGTGAACCCTAATTTAGGCTTGCATCTGCCAGGCAAAGAAAACATGCTGCCAGGAGAAAGCAGTAGATGGTTTAATCTTCCAAGAGGTCTTCCTGAAGAACATTTTATTCCATTTCTTAATGAAATTGCCCAAATTTTGGATTTATCCTGCAGTTCCAGAGGCTCAGAAACCTGATTTGATCAGCCTCCAAGAGCTGTTCCTTCTCTCCTACACACCAACAGTAATCTCCTGGAAGCTGTATTACTCAGATGTTACTATACAGTGAGATTAAGAAGCTACCAGCACATGAACGTGGAATCCTCACATTGGCCCAGCCAAGGCATTCTCTCACCCTGGCTGCAGTGCTTGAGATGTCACGTTCACACTCTGAAGGTTGCCAGGTGAGTGAGGTATCAGCACAAGAGGAGTTACATAAATAAACCATCTAATAGCACCCAATTAAGATAGCAGCACGTGATTCCTAGCTCACAGCATGGATAAAACACCAACATTTCCCTCCATTGTGACTCTGCTTTTCTTTTTTCTTCAAATAGATTTAAGATCTGTGGTTGGATTAAGATCAGCTGACTCTCACCGACCTGGGAGCCATCCTGTCTCCTCACTAATCCTCTTGTCCCTATCTTAAACTTTAACTCTCAGAGGATAATTTTGTCACATTTCCAAGGTCTCTCAAGGAGTTCCTTGTGATCCTGCGTACTGGTAACAATGGTTCTCCTTAAAAATAGTCTGCTACAGTGAAATGAACATAAAAATCTATAGTCTAGAAACCCAAGTTAAAAATAAACTCAGACGCTTTGACTTTGATAAAATGAACGTCATCATCTGTTAAATGAGAATGAAATGCTAATAACTACTCCTCCAGCATAGCGGCAAGGGTCAAGTGAGGTCAGGAGTGTTGTCTACCCCATACAACATGTTAGGCATTATTTTTCTTCTTCTTATAGTCTGGGAATAAGAAAGACACAATTTGACTCTCATTAAAGCAGTTTGTAATTGACGCAAGCAGAAAAACCACCTTTCAAATATGAGACAGGATGAAACACTCAGCCACTAAGGAGCTGTCCTCTTCCAGACCATCCACATCTCTTTTGTATCTGAAATACTGGCCCCAGAATTCCCTAGAGGATATGTCTGAGGAAACATTTGGATGAATTTCCTAAAGACCCGTCTGGGGAGAGGTTCAATGTTTTTGCCCCATCTTGCATATAAACTTGAAGTTTCAGTGATATGAAAGCCAAGAATTGGGTGGAGATTCAACCAGAAAATAGCCAGACTTTCTAGATACCAGAAGGAGTTCACTTGGGGTTGGACTGATTTAGCCATCATGTAGTAGCAGACACATGGATTTTTTTTAATGAGTACTAACCAGCCCACTCCTCGTAGAGTATGAACAGTATTTGGCAAATGAATCTACCAGCTAGATGGTCATCATCTGGGGTCAGCTTGAAAGTGGCCACCCAAAAAAAAAAAAAAAAAAAAAAAAAACGCGAGGTCCTTGCAAAATAACAGCTGTTTTTAACTGCAGAATGGTATGCTGTTGAAACCAAAGCAGATGTTGTCTTATAGCTTTTTCATTCTATGACCAGCATTGACTCTGATGCCTCATACTTCCTAACATTGCTTCAGCAAGATAGATCTTGTGACCATAATCCCCTGGTGCCAAGATCATTTTCTGTCTTCTTATCTTTGCTCATCCTGTTATCTGTCAACAATTAGCAGGGAAGGAGGGAACACAGTGTCTTATCTATAAATCCCTAGTATCTAGCATGGTATCTAGGGCAAGAAGTAGCTTGAGTGTTGGGTGGGTGAATGAGTCAGTGAATGAATAAATGGCAAGTAAACAAATGACTAAATTAGTGAATGAATAAATGGCAAGTAAACAAATGACTAAATTAGTGAATGAATAAATTAATAGAAGCCTGTGCTTTCCTTCCTCAAATATAAACTAATTGACTTTCTTATTTTATTCTACTATGGACCAAACTGTGTGATTTTGATCACACAGTAGGAAAATACATCATTGAAACCTAAAAGATCAAAACAAGTTTTATATTTATTGGGTTTAATTCCCAACTGTCCAGTGATAGCCTAGGAAGCCTGGCCCCAGAACTAAGCTCTAGGTACACTGATTAGGTATGAGCTCTGAACAGCAACCCATTCCCTTAAGGTGATGGATTGATTTTTAATCAATGGAGACATCAGGTTGTGTCTCCATGATGAATGACCTAAGTCAATGCCACTTCTCTTCTTATGTCAGAACAGGATCCACAGAGACAAAAACAAACTGATATTTTTCAAGTGCCCAGATCCCTGTGCGTTTCTGACAACTGCTGTGTAATATAAACATCGTTATCCTTCATTTTACTGCTGAGAAAGCTGAGTATTCAAGAGATGATGTGACTTGCCCAGAGGCACATCCTTAGTTCACGGATCTGAGGTCCCAATCTCGACCTGTCTTTGTTCTTTCCACCCAATACTTGAGACAGCTAGGCCAGTGATTCTCACACTTGAGATACCTGGGGGTATTTTTAAAAACAAATTTCTGAACTTTCCCCTCAGATGTTCTTATTTGATAGCTATGAGATGAGGATGAGAATTTGTATTTCTAACAAATTCCCCAATGAAGGTAATGATGGTGGTCCAGGGGTCACACTTTGAGAGCCATTAGCTAAAGTGTTAGAAAGAATTATTAACTATAGTTAATAGAAACCAAGTGGAAATAATGTGAGCCAAAAGGAGCATTTTATCATAAGAATGTAAGGGTATGTCCTGAAACACAAAGCAAGGAACATAATTTGGTATGTTCCAGAACATACCAAGTAGGTTCCAGAACAAGTAGGTTCTGGAACCAGAAACTTGTCTCTAACTCCATCTTTCATCTCTATTTCTCCGTGAAATGTGTTTCATTCCTTGCCCTGCACTTATACTTGTTTCCAAATCTGTCCTGTCCAGATAGACAACATGACTAGCAGCATCTTCTAAGGTTATACCATTCAGAGCCATCAGCCCAAAGGAAGTCTAAGCCTCTCTCACTAGATCGCTTCCAAATTCCCAGAGACTGACCTGAGTTCTTGACATTCTTGTGCACCCAACTATGGTATGAATGGGATTGTACAAAGTAGCTACCAGAGTCTCATCACTGTAAACATATAAGTTGATAAAGAAGGGTAGCTGGTGGAGAAAGAGATTAGATAGCAAACCCAATAGCTGCCCACGGGGGCTGGGGTGCATGAAGTATGCATACAGATAAGTAAGAAGTGAGGGAGTTCTCCTGAGCCAGCATACTGACTAGAACACAGGTGAACAATGGCTAGGAAGCCTTTCAGAACATGGTGCTATAGGCTTCAAAAATAACACTTTTCTCTTGGACTAGAGGAGATGCCATAAACAGTAAATCCATCTGGTTTGCAAATTCTCTTAAATAAGCCTATGCAGACAATTCCTAGGGCTAAATAGAGCCAGTTTTGTTTTCTTAGAAGGAGAACAATGGAATGTGGAATGTCAATCCAGTGCTGCTAGCCAAGCTGGGTCATGGAAAAGGCACAGAATACATTCATTAATGTTCTGCAAACCCACCCAATCCCCACCCCCTCCTTGCCGATCTTCACTCCACCCTGCAAGGGAAAAGCCTGAAGTTGCTAAAGAAGGGTTGAAACTGAACTTGAGGCAGATCCGGTCAGATGTGCAGTGAGGACTCACCACACAGGCACCAGCAAAGGCCCGGTACTCCATTTCCAAGAAGGAGGCATTTCCAGTAGATGCTGCTCTGTGTGTGGCTGAGCTAGGATTTCTTTCCCTGGGTTCCATAGAATAATAGCTGGGCAGCTCCTCTGAGTCACAAGTTTACTTGCTGGGAATTCCCATATTGGGAATCTGGAGAAAGAAAAGTGCTTGTGGGAGGCATAGTGGAAAGAACATTGAACTTAGGATCAAACCTTGGTAGATTCAACTGCTGGCCCTGACAAACCAAGAGACAAGAGACTGTCCCAAGTCAGTCAGTTAAACTCTCTGCACTTCCATCTCCTCCACTGAAATTGGGGAGCATAATTCTCAATGTCCGTTTGATTCACTACGTTGCTGCAAATAGCAGATGTGATTGGCTGAGAATGTCATGCATGAGGTTTAGCTGCTGGCCAGCACAAGACTACCACTGGCATATATGAATTATTTGAATTAGTAAAAGAAGCCCCTTCCTACATGTCAGGGCTCATGGCTTAGCAAGCTGAGTGTGGGCTGCATTTCACCTCTCAGCTAGGCACCCTTGCACAGTGTTAAAAGATAAACTGGGGCACATTAAAATAGTAAAGAGTTTATTTGAGCAAGCAGCAATTCATGAATTGGGCAGCTTCAGACTACAAGTGGTTTGTGGGCTCCACCAAAGTGGTGGAAGGGGTAGAATTTTATAGGGTGAATGTAGGCAGAGCAAAGAAATATATCAATTAGTTAAAGTTTAAACAATTGCCATATTTGGACTACCCTGGTAGGAAGTTCATGACAACATAACTAATGCCCAGTTGGTCACCTGTGATTGACTGAGCTTGAGTTTTGTTTTCTTTTAAATTCTGAGTTAGGTTTCAATTTGATTATGTAGGAGCCTGGAGCATCAGAACCACCTAGTCTAATGGCCTCCCATGTAATTATTTTAACAACACCTCCACAGTCTTTATGGTGGCCCCTGGGTCACGGTGCCTTCTATAAGAATAAGATAAATCTTCACAAGTATAGAAGCTTCAGGGAGGTCTCAATCAGCCAAGGTGGTAGCAAGAGGCAAGGAAAACAGTCAAGACAGCCACACCACTATTGTCCCAATCCAGGTTAAAAACATTTGTCCAGAATTCTCCCCAGGTAGAAACCCACCCCTGAATCAAAGGAGAAAGGCAGAGGAGAGAGTCATAAATTTGCTTACACTGATATACTTAGCTGGAAATTTCTGAGCCATCAAGAAAAAACATGGTCCTTTAGACCTTTCAAGGTGGCTGGTTTGAATTTGCATGTTTTCACAAAACCCCCTCCAGCATCTCCTTCCTGGGTCTTACTATATTAGGCCTATACTTACAGTTCTTTCGATTATCATGTCTATATCATGTGGATAGGAGTTTAGTGTTTAAAATTATGTAGGAGCTATGTATTCCCAGCATCTAGAGTCCACTAACCCCAGTGGGTGTTAAACCTACTTATCTTTTTTTTCCCCTTTGGACACCTATTTTCTTTTTACTTTCTTCTGCTTCTATCTTTGTCTAAAACACAATTAGACCTATATTTCTATTTAAATTTATGTTCTATTCCAATGCTCTACGTGGTTCCATTAGTCATGACGCCTGAACCTAGTACATGGAACCACAAAGAAGGGGCACACAGCACAATCATGTTCTTTGTGCACTTAGTTCTGAACTCCTTATCTTTTCCCCAAACCTCACTCTGCCTTGCTCTTGACCTAGATTCTGACTTTATTGCTTCTTTTTGATTTTTAATTTTATTTATTTATTTATTTATTTTGAGACAGAGTCTTGCTCTGTCGCCCAGGCTGGAGTGCAGCAGTGTGATCTCGGCTCACTGCAGCCTCTGCTTCCTGAGTTCAAGTGATTCTCCTGCCTCAGCCTCCTGATTGGCTGGGATTACAGGTGCATACCACTATGCCTGGCTAATTTTTGTATTTTTAGTAGAGATGGGATTTCCCCAAGTTGGCCAGGCTGGTCTCAAACACCTGACCTCAAGTGATCTGCCTGCCTCAGCCTCCCAAACTGCTGGGATTATAGGCTTGAGCCACTGCACCCAACTTATTGCTTATTTTTCATTTATATCTTCACCTTTCTAATGAGCTTGATCCTCTATACCTTCCCCGCTACTAAAGATATTGATATCACCTCCCAGATGACATCATACTAGTTCTCTCCTCACAGGCTGATTTTCGGGTAAATACCTCTCCTGGTTTGGCTGTGCTCTGGAGGCCTCCCACTTTCATCAAACCCCCTTCTCCAATGAGTTATATGCCCAAGAGGCCACTCACCCTCATAAATAGGAAGAGAATAAGTAGAACTTAGGGGAAAATCTTGGTGAAATTTGGAAGGAGCAGGAAGGTGTGCCTGCTTCATGAGGGGAGAACCCGCACCCATATCCTTGGGAAGAAAGAGATCATGAACTTCCTGGAAGTAGAGCCTGAACTCTATACTAGGAGTGGACTAGTGGAAAGCCCTCCACCAGAAGACAAGTTGTAGGAGGCCCAAGAGAGATGTAAGTATGTTCCATATAGAGTCAAGTGAAAAATCAATATAGGTACTCTTTAAAGTTGATTATCTGGCTGGGTGTGGTGGCTCATGCCTGTAATCCCAGCACTTTGGGAGGCCGAGGCAGGTGGATCACTTGAGGTCAGAAGTTCAAGACCAGCCTGGCCAACATGGTGAAACCCCATCTCTACTAAAATACAAAAATTACCCAGGCATGGTGGCACATGCCTGTAGTCCCAGCTACTTGGGAGGCTGAGGCACTAGAATCACTTGAACCTGGGAGGCAGAGGTTGCAGTAAGCTGAGATCATGCCACTGCACTCCAGCATGGGCAACAGAGTGACATACCATCTCAATAAAATTTAGTTTAACTTAAAGGTTGAATTAAACTAAAGAGTTTTTGCATGGCAAAAGGAACAGTCAGAAGAGTAAGCAGACAACCCATAGAGTGGGAGAAAACCTTCACAATCTATACATCTGACAAAGGACTAATATCCAGAATCTACAGTGAACTCAAACAAATTAGCAAGAAAAAAACAAGCAAATCCATCAAAAAGGGGCTAAGGACATGAATAGACAATTCTCAAAAGAAGATATACAAATGTCTAACAAAGATATGAAAAAATACTCAACATCACTAATGATCAGGGAAATGCAAATCAAAACTACAATGCGATACCGCCTTACTCTCACAGAATGGCCACAGTCAAAAATAATAATAATAATAATAATAGATGTTGGCGTGGATATGGTGAACAGGGAACACTTATACACTACTAGTGGCAATGTAAACTTCTAGAAGCACTATGGAAAACAGTGTGGAGATTCCTTAAGGAACTGAAAGTAGAACCGCCAGTTGATCCAGCAATCCCTCTACTGGTTATTTACCCAGAGGAAAATGAGTCATTATACAAAAAAGATACTTGCACACACATGTATATAGCAGCACAATTCACAGTTGCGAAAATGTGGAACCAACCCAAATGCCCATCAATCAACGAGTAGATAAGGAAACTGTGGTGTATATATATATGATGGAATACTACTCAGCTATAAAAAGGAATGAATTAATGGCATTTGCAGCAACCTGGATGAGATTGGGGACTATTATACTAAGTGAAGTAAATCAGAAATGGACAATCAAACATTGTATGTTCTCACTCATAAGTGGGAGCTAAGCTATGAGGATGCAAACACGTAAGAATGACATATAGACTTTGGGGACTCAGGGGGAAAGGGTGGGAAGGGGGTGAGTGATAAAAGAATACAAATTGGGTGCAATGTATACTGCTTAGGTGATGGGTGCGCCAAAATCTCATAAATCACCACTAAAGAACCTACTCATGTAACCAAACACCACGTGTTCCCCAATAACCTATGGAAATAAAAATAAAAGTTTTGACTTCAGAAAAAAAAAGTTGATTGTCAGTTAATGCTTTCTGGATTATGTCGCCTATATCTTTTTAAGCTCTGTATGTCTTTCTTCAATTCTTGACTGTTTCTGACAACTGGGATTCTCCCTGCTTCCAGGATTGTTCCACTCAAATTCAGCCTCAGAAGTAGCCAGAGACCTTGCTATTTGCTTGCTGAGAACCCATCAGTGGTTTCCTGTCTCCCGCATGGTGAAGCCTCAGCTCCTTGGTCTGGACACACGCCCTGCAGGATTCAGGCCTGCCTACTTATCTTATTAGGCAGCTGTCTCCATCACAAGACTGTCAGTCCCTTGAAAGCAGGGACTTAATCTTTTTCATTTCTGTGTTCCTATCACTGAGTGCCACACCTGACACATAATGGACACTCCAAATGATGATTGTATCAATTGATGAATTAATCGGTATCATACATAAGTGCTCCCAGTCGAAATCCAATTCTGAGTATTTAATGTCTCATCTTTCTGTGAGAAACAAATCAAGGTGCTTCATTGTTTTCAACCCCATCAGTGGGCCCGGACCTTGCCAAAGCAAACCACAGGCCTGAGGGATTCTGCCAACAGGACTCCCTCCCACATCCATGTCTGTAAGACTGAGGTCCTTGAAAACTTAGCCTGCTCAGCTGTAGAAGTGGAAAATATCTAGTAGCCGCTAAGAGCCTGCAGCCAAGGAGATGTTTTTCTAGTCTGAACCCACACACCCAGATAGCCCCAGGGGACACTGAGGCCAAATGAACGTCCGCTCACACAGGAACTTGACTCCCCATGGAGGCCACCCTAACACCAAGCCCACCCCTGTCTTACTGCCCAACACCCGGTGGTCTGACACCCACTTCCTCTTCCACGTTCCACAACAGTGAGATCTCCTGCAGTCCAGTCTAGCTTCTGTTCCCACTTGCCTTCATTCCAGAATGCCTCATGGAATGGTTTCTGTTTCCAAGTTTTCTCCCAAGAATGAGAAAATCCTCTGCTGTCCGGCAAAGCCAGTGTCTTTTACTGCACTCAGCAGGCTTTAATTGAAGAGTTCTCTCAATGGTTCACTGCTCTGTGAAGCTGGTAGCTGCTTTCTTACCATAGATCCTCCTTACGTCTCCAAGGCTCAAAATAGCCCAGAAGGGGATGCATGAAGCAAACATCAGCCAAGTAGACACTTGTCAACCTGGTGACATTTCTGCCAACTTGTGACTCTTTACAGGGGGAAACCTCTCTGGCAGGCAGTTGGAATGGGGATGCTAGGGAAAGGCTATATATGTGCTAGAAAGAGCAAGGACTACAAAGCCAGGAGGCCTAGGGTTAGGTTCTTGCAACTGGTTGTGGAATCTCTGACAACTCATTGAATCTTTCTCTGCCTCCTTTGCCAACAATCTATGAAGTTAGGCAGATAGGAATCTGCCACATATTAGCAAGTAGAGGATGAGATAGGCTATGTCTTCCCTTGCCACCAGATCCTTTCTTCATAAAAACTAGAATAATTATCCCTTGAATCGTCTCAGCAACTTTCTGAGATTTAGAGTGGTTTAACAACTTTTCAAGGTCATATGTCTACTGTATAGAACTTGGATGGAACACTATTCTATCTCGTTTCCAGACCTCATCTCCCAAGTTTCATGTTTTCAAAGTAAAATAAGATATATTCATAATCTCTGCCTGCAGTGAACTCAAGTTTCGGAGGAAAAAAGCTACACTTGCATCTAAAAGTGTTTTGTGCCTCTGTATAGTTAGGAGAGTCTTCTTGGAGGAGATGAGATATATGGGCTTTGAAGAATGAATTTGATCCACCCCTTTTTTTCCTGACTACTGGAAAAACCGGATCAAAATCTGTGGCTTCCCAGTAGCAAGTATAATGGACTTGTTAACATCTTTAATATAAGTACTTTTCTCACCTGCCTATAGCTTTTTCCTCCTTTCCTACGTTTTGTTTATCTTCTCTTTGCTACACAATTTTACTTGAAGTGTACTTTATCTTGTTGTTTTGAGTGTATTGAAAGTAAGCTGCATTTGACCGGGCGCAGTGGCTCATGCCTGTAATCCCAGCACTTTGGGAGGCCGAAGTGGGCGGATCACAAGGTCAGGAGATCGAGATCATCCTGGCTAACACGGTGAAACCCCGTCTCTACTAAAAATATTAAAAAAATTAGACGGGCATGGTGGTGGGCGCCTGTGGTCCCAGCTACTCGGGAGGCTGAGGCAGGAGAATGCAGTGAACCCGGGAGGTGGAGCTTGCAGTGAGCGGAGATGGTGCCACTGCACTCCAGCCTGGGCGACAGAGCGAGACTCCATCTCAAAAAAAAACAAAAAAGTAAGCTGCGTTCAACTATTTTGTAAACCAAGTAGAGGAGAGGTAAACAAATTATTCACAGCATGAGAGTAGTTCCCTACTCCACCCATACCTAAGTGTAGACAGGCAAATATAGACATTGCTTAGCCAGTTACTGGTTTCAGTGCTTACTTTTTGTCAGCCCCCTGCCTTCAAAGCCTTCTCATTTCTGCAGTTGGGACCATTTGCCCTTGCCCACTCTACCTATAGCTCCCTAATTACAGATCTTGAGGCCCCCTGATGTGGGCAGTTGGGGTTTGGAGGAACAAGTACATTAACCTGCTAGGCCTGCTATGAGGATGTTCCCACTTTCAGTGAAAGCGTTCATAGTGCTTCTTTCAGGCCACAGCTCAGCCCTATCAGAAGTGCTGGGTCCTCAGCTATCCCTGGACCTAGCCTCTGCTGAGATTTCCTGCCCAATCCCCAAATTCCTCCTGGATTAGCATTTTACTCTTGCCAGACCCCATCCTGGAGCCTTCAGTCCTAGCACCAACCCAAAAGCCTTCAGCTGTGGTAGGATATGAGCACAAAGTAGCGAACAGGAGACATCAGGCACTAACTTGGAAGGAAAGGAGTCAAGGCTGTGCTAAAAGTTGACCTTTAAAATCAGTGGGTCAGAGCAGAGATATCCAGTCACCTGAAGAACACAGAAGGGCTCCTCGACACAAGAGGCTGAATACCCTCCATGAGAATGTCAACATTTCTGAAGAAACATGAGTCATGTTGCACAGGAGTTGGCCCACCATTAAAAAGAGAAGGTCATAAAGTCAAACCAAGGGGCTCTGCCTGTAGAGAAGATTTAGCCAAACAACTTATATTGACAGCCCCATTGGTAAGACCATCCCTACTATGTGATAATTGAGATGTCTTATTCAGATGGCATTAAGCATTTCACATATCCATTTCTCCTTGTTCCCATTTCATGCTTGTCACACAACCTTGCATACAGGTTTTCATTTTCCCAGTAGGTCTGATTTCAAGGAAAGCATGAGTTTTCAGGCCAATGGGAGACTTCCACCTCTGGAACCTTGATTTAGCAAGCCAATAATTTGGTTTCTGAGATCTCCTTCAATCTTATGAGCATAGTCTATCCCTCAGAAGCTATCCCTGAGTCACACTGCCAGATACATCTACTCACAATGGAGATGTCTATGTCTAAAAGCCTGCAGGAGTATGGAGAATTCACCAAGGGACTGAATGTCAAATTGTGGAACTCTTTGCCAGCTGAGTCATTTGGGGACCTTGGGTAGGACATGCAGCTCCCAAGAAGAGCACCCTTTCCTACATTTGAGATTCTATTTGTCCCCATTTCTTCTCCCCAGTTCCTGTGGGCTGCTGCCCACAGGAATGGATGTCTGCTCCCTACTGTCTGCCTCCTGCTGGGATGCCAGTACACCTCTTTCCCGTGATTGACCTTGCTAGCCCTGGTGGATTTCTTAGCACCAGCTCTCTGTCTGGACTGCCCAACAGAATCCCCAGGGAGCAAGCGCACTTTGGCAGGTGAGTCCTGTGTAGTTGGACCACTCTCTAACCAGTGCGTGAGCACAATTACCAGCACCCAGCCCCTCTCCATCCAACCTGTCCTACTGCCTCACCAAACTCAGACTCATACCTTCCCTCCCACCTGGCTCCCTGACCACTTCTACCCAACTCGGCTCAGGCAGGAGTGGTTACCTGGTTACCTTGGGTAACCAACATATTAAGACTTTTCATATCCTAATACAGAGCATTACTCAAACTGGATCAAGAGGCAAGAAAGTGAGATTGAAAGAATATGGACTTACTAAAACCAATATTTTGTTTGTCTATCCAACAAGCAAACATCTTTTTATACCCACTTTTTGTTGAAGGTGCAGGGAAACAGGAATATTCACACACTTGTAGTGGGAAATAAATATTTATAAGTTTCCTGCGGGGGTGGGGCAAGTTGGCAATATAGTATATGTCTTTGAAACCAAAATGCGCTTTTAATCATCAATCTCACTTCTAGGAATTTATCCCAAGGAAGTAAAAATACACACACAGATTAAACTACAAGGATGCTTACTGCAGCATTTTTAATATTAGTAAAAAGCTAGATATAACCTAAATATTTAGCAACGGAAGATCAGTTAAATAAACAGTTCATTCATAAAATGAAATACTATGCAGTCTTTTTAAATGATACAGAAATACGTTTATAGATGCAGAAAGACATTTATGATATATCGTTAAGCAGAAAAGCTGGTTACAAATATATACATGCGGAAAAAAAGTCTGGAAAGACATACCAATGTGATTGTAGCTCTTATATCTGAATGGCAGAATTTATGGATAATTTTTATTTTTTTACTTATCAGTATTTTCTCAATTTTAGATAATATGCCTTACTTGTGTAATAGAAAATAAAATAAAATTTGCTTTTTTAAAGGGTAGGGACATGGTATTCACACAGACTTGGGTTCCAATCCCAGCTAGACCACCAATTAGCAGTGTGACCACAGAGACATTACTTACATCCCCTGAGCTTCAGTTTCTTCATATCCAATATGGGTATAAGGGCACTTTCCTCATGAGGTGGTCTTGAGGTTTACATGTGAAAGCATTAATCAAGTGCTTGACGCAGGGTAGGTACTGAGCTACATTTTTCCCCTTTCTTCCTGGATGTCCAAAAATAACTGAGGTAACCATTTACAATTACAACATGGTCAAACACGCCAAGTCATGTAAAATGTAGATCCGGAAATTATGAGAGACTAGTATTTAGTGCTTCAGCCTAACTCTTTTCTCTCTGATCTCCCCAGCCCCATGCAGTGCGGCGGCAGATGCAGAGATTCCCGTTATTAACCAAGGTGTCTTGAAGGTTCGGAGGCCATCCAGGTGGAATAAAGCAGGCTGTGTTACCCAGCCCCATCAGCAGGTGGGGCCGGTCTCACCTGGTGTCTTCATTCAGCCTGGCACACCTCCCCACCAGGCATCAGACTGTATGTCATAAGGGGCTATTCCGTCAGTTACTGCACATGTTTGAGACTCTCACTCTACCTGCTCCCACCTCAATCCAGTTCCCGTTTGTGCCTCCACCTCCACTTACAGTCTCACTCTTACCACTTAGGATTTTAGCCTCTTCATAGGGGAACTTCGTTGCCTATCAGGAATGTCTGGAATTTGTCCTGCCTTCCCCCAACTACTCATTCATTTCCTCACCAAACTTTATGACTACCTAATGGGTGCCAAGCTTTGTGCTAGGACTCAGAGATCAATCAGAGACAGCAGACCCTGATCTTGGGGGAGCCACACAGCCTGCCCCAAGGCCTCAGGTGGGGAAAACAGACTGGAACACAGACCATAACCAATAGCTATTATAACACAGCACTACAATGCTGTGTTATAGTAACTATTATCATTAGAATCTTTATATAACACTTGTTATATACCAGGAGCTGTTCTAAGCACTTTATATATGTTAAGCTTAATTATTACAACTTATCTATATGAGATAGGTTAAAATTATCTCTATTTGATTGATAAAGGAATTGAGGCACAGAGCAGTTAAGTAACTTGCCCAGGATAGCACAGTTGGTAAATGGCAGAACCAAGATTTGAACTGAGCCTCCTTTACACTCTTAAAAATGACAGGATTCTAAAGAGGTTTTGTTTATGTGGGTCATGTCTAGTAATATTTATCAAGTCAGAAATTAGAGAACTTTTAAAAACATTTATCGATTCCCTTAAAATAACAGTAATAAATCTGTTACATGTTAATCTAAATAATAAATTTTAATGAAAAAAAATCCATAGCAAAATTAGTAAGAAGAATGCCATTGTTTCAGGTTTGCAACATCTTTAATGTCTGACTTATTAACATACAAAGCAGATTCACATATATTTTGCATTCAGCCTATTGTCATGTGTTATTTGATTAAAGGATATGAAGAAACCTGGCCTCACACATCATGAAGTTGAATAAGGGAGAAGTATTTTAATAATCTATTCAGATAACTGTGGACATTCCTCTTTGATAGTACACCAAAACTTGACAAGTGGTGGATTTTTAAAGGGTCACTGCCATGTGGAATCTGAAACCAGCTCACAGTGAAGGATACAAGTTTTCCAAAATCCCAGTTTTTCATTTGAACTCTCAAATTTTATAATTGGCCGTACATACTGTCATTTGTTTTCCTTGAAGTAACAGCTCTGACTTCATCATTTAAATATATATATGTGTGGGTGGATGTGTGTGCGTGTGTCTGTGGGTGTGTGTAGGTGTGTGTGTGGGTGTGTGTCTGCCAACTACCCATGGCTGAATAACTGCAGTGTGTCTGTCAATCGTTCTTTCCAGGAAAATGGTTTTCCATGGAGAAAATGGCTACTTCAGCTCCCAACTCACTCACTCACTCTGGTGCTTTTCCTTGAGACCACCACTGTGCTTTTGTAGGCAACAGAAAAGCTTTACCCATACTCTTATCTCATCACACCAATCATTAAAAAGACAGGCCAGACACTCGAAGGCTGAAGTTTAATAAATTTGATCATTTTTATTGCTTCGTCAAGGACATTAAGTGAAACTGACTTTTTTCTTCCTACCGTGCACATGTGGTGGTGAATAATACAATGATAACTACTGCAGTTTGCTACCACTACCTTGATCCAAACTAAAGCACCAGCTGTTTACCACTGTTGCTTTTACACCATCAGTTTAAACATCAACCAATGAAAAGGGAAAATTACATCTTAGTAGCATTATAAAAATAGTTCTGATCTCATGAACCTCTAAAAGTACCTCAGGTTCCTCCAGGGTCCTCAGGCCACGCTGAGAACCATGGCTCTATACTATATAATCCAGGATAAACCTGGGGCTATGTCAGCTTCCTCACTGATCAAAGTTCAGATTAAAGCCCAACCCTGAGCCCAGAGGCCTTGGGATCTGGACAATCTTTCTTTGGCCAGCCCTTGTCCCTCATCTCTCAGAGCTAGGCCGAGTCTCTTGAACTCCAAGCTCTAGCTTAGATTCTCACTGAAGACCATCTTTCCCTCAAGTCAGACCAACCATAGGCTAGACAAAACCTCAGTTCACCTCACCCTTAAGACACTCATTAGACTTCTAGCCACTCAGGGAAAGAAAAGAGAGGAGAACTCCCATCTGGAGCCCTTACTGCGTGCCAGGCATGACATTCTTTAATTCAACTCTCATCACCTCCACTCTGCTAGCAAAGAAACTGAGGCTCAGGGAAGCAGGGTGCCCACGCAGATCTGTCTGACATGAAAGCTAAGCCGTGGTGCCGCCTTCTGGTCAATTCCCACAGTCTCATTCCTGGCCCTGCCTGGACTTCCTCCCCTTCGTGTCTGCTGGCTGGTAAGGTTCCAGCATGCCTCACAACCAAAATTTCCTGAAATGAGAAAATTCCCAGCACCAGCGGTTTTAATCATCCAGTGTCTGAATTCCTAATAGTCACAAATCACTCAGATGTTGGAAACTATGAGACACACCACTCTCCGGAACAGATCATTGATAAAGTCTGAGCTGGGTTCACTTCTGCCATTGTTGGAGACCAGGCGGCGCAGGCTCTCCTTTGGGGAGTATTTCCACCGAAGCTGATGGTTCGTCATCTCTGTCTGTGTTCCGCACACGGGAGTTGACATCCTCTGGCCCCTGCCTCTTCCTCAGCACCAGGGGCTCCCTGGAAGAGCCAGGGCCCATTCAAAAAAGTCACAAAACAACTCCCCAGGATGTGACCAGGATAAGAATCACATCCTAAGATTCAGCTTCAGGAAAGTTTATCCCAAAATAAACCCAACACTGAAGTAAATAAAGCATTAGGAATATTTTGGGAGAGCAATTTCACAGAACTACAAAAAAGGAAAAAAGATGCTATTGTCAACAGCCTTTGTTCAGACATTCTGTATTTCTGGCACATCTTGTTAAGTGGCGGTTTTGTATCTGACATTTATGCAAGGGGGAAATGACCCATGTTTATGAAAATTATACCATTTCTTCTAAGGGTAAGAGTGTCCTTTAAGCACTGGTTTGAGATAGGCAGAGAGTTTGATGAGGATTCAAGGTTGTGATGATTAAAGCCAGGGTAGGAGGAACATGTAATTTGTGCAAAAGAACCCGGAGAACAACAGCAAAGGGAGAACTCTGTTGAATATATACAAAGGGGACGCTGCTTTGCAGTCTTGTTTCCCTAGGAGGAAGAGGGAACACAAACAGAAAGTTTTTATGATTTCACAGAACAAGAGAAGGCTCAACACTTGGCATAACAAAAGGTAAAATGTTTGGGATAATGGACACCAACTAAGCCTTATCTCCACTTGCACATTCAACCAAAACAAACAGATTCTATTAGTATCACCTTCACTAACGTGATTGCATTCATCCATTCATCCAATATTTAACAAATACTGTGTATTATACCCCGCTAAGCATTGGGAATGCCACAGTGATGAAAACACAGTCTGTGCCCTCGAGAAGCTCCTAGGACAGCAAGAAAAACAGATCTGTGAAGAGGCGATGATAAGAAGGTAATGAGTGCTCTAAATTTTGGTGGGAGGCCGGATGTGGTGGCTCACACCTGTAATCCCAGCACTTTGGAAGGCCAAGGAGGGCAGATCACCTGAGGTCACGAGTTTGAGATCAGACTGGCTAACACAGCCAAACCCCATCTCTACTAAATATATATATATATATATATATATATATATGTATTAGCTGGGTGTGGTGGCATGCACCTGTAGTTCCAGTTACTCAGGAGGCTGAGGCACGAGAATTGCTTGAACCTGGGAGGCAGAGGCTGCAGTGAGCTGAAACTGCACCATGCACTCCAGCCTGGGCAACAGAGGGAGACTCTGTCTCTAAATTAATTAATTAATTTAATTAATAAAATAAAATAAATGTTGATGAGGAAGTAGGAATCCAGGGAGACTTCCTAGTGATAATGACACCTGACCTCAAAATCCCAGAGAGGATGGTGGCTGGGGTTTTCACAGAAGGAGATGGATGCTGATGGTCATTCCAAAGATATCAATCAACAACTTTCTTCAGTCTTTTATCTTCAGTGCATTTATCACTCCATTTAAATTTTCCAGAATTGGTAAAACTTCTATGGGTCTTAATTTAAATATGATAAGCAATAACTTGTTACATTTGACTTAGGAAAACTGCATGATCCAGTGGTGACAAACCACAGGTCTGGGGATAGGCAGACCTGGGGTTGAGTTCTGCCACTACCACTTGCCAGCTGTGGGCACATCACTCACCCTGTCAGGTCCATGCCCACCTCACAGGGATGTTACTAGAAATAACATGAGGCAATTGAAGCATCTGGCACCTAATAACATTCTGTTCTTCCCCTAGGATCCTGTGACCACATCACAAACATCCCCCAGTTCCACGGGTGACTGTTTATCGTAACCCCACAGCCTTCCTTCAACCCAGCTGCTACCATCTCTCACCTGTACTATGTGATAGCCTCTGGACTTTTGTCCCCACTTCCTGCCTCATTCCGCTTTGGTCTGTTTTTCACAAAGCAGCCAAAAATGCTTGAAAATGCGTGGTGCTCATGCCTTTCCTCTGCTTCACACCCTCCCACGATTCTCCCTTGACCTCTGATAAAGTCGAAACTTTAGAACAGCTTTCATGGCCTTAATTGTTCAGCCCCTGCTCCCCTTTCAGCCTGGTCTGCCTCCCGCTACCCCATTCCACTCCATGCTCATGTTTGTCCACAGACTTCTGCCTGGAACACCATCCCTGCTGCACACCTCTTCTGCATGCTAATGCCTCTCCCTTCTCAGTGCTTCCTGGAGGAAGCCCTATGCTTTGATGCTTCTTCCAGGAAGCAACCCATGATTTCTGACCACCACAACCACGCCAAGCAACACTGGATTCAGTGCTCCCTCTCTGTCCTTCCTACCTTCTGTTTTTTCCCCATTTATCACAGTCTGTTACAATCTACTTCTCCGTATCCATCACTAGATAGTCATTTCTTAGGAATAGCTTTTGAAGCTTTTATCCCATATCTGACCTATTTTGAATGAATGAATAATCTCACAATGAATGAATGGCAGGGATGAGATTAAAACTCAGGTCAATCTGATCCCCAAACGTATGGGTTCCCATCATCCCAGTTGAAACCTAACTAAAAACTGAAGTAGTGCCATCCCCCCTCCACTGCCCCATACCCCCAATGGGTCTGCTCCCACCAGCCCCCCACCCTGCCCCCCACCACACACACACACACACACACACACACATCCCTAGCTTAGGGTCCCTCTATTTGGCATGGACTCATTTTCTGCCAGGAATGCATATCTTCCTTGCAGGCTGAGGCACTATATGGACTGTACTAAAAACACTCAACCCACTGATTCTGGTGAAATTATTTTGGAGTGACAGGGATAGGCAGGGGCTTTCCTGGGCTCAGGACTCTAGCTGGGGAGTGGCAAAAGCCACAGTGCAACTCAACTCAGGAGAAAATAAATGCCTGGAAATTTGAGCCAGCTGTTTTTTTCTTACTCACCAAAGTGCATTGAGTCAACCCTTAATCTTTTGTCAATATTTGCGGACTGAAAACACGACAAACCACCCCCTGTGCCGCTCAGAGTGTAGACACTGACTGATGGGACCAGGTACAAAATCCCCTGGGACAAAACAGAACTTTCATAACTGGCTGTAGAGTTATTGTTTTTGCCTTTTGGAAGCTTCCACCTTGTGACGGGAAGAGCACTGTCAGCCCAACACAGAAACTCTGCCGCCTGGAGTCACGTGGATCCAGATGCGAAGGGACTCCAACGTCATGCTAAGGAGTTTGGGTAATAACAATGATAAAATGCACTTATTGAGGTAGTGTTTAATGTGTTTAATGTATCTTCTTTACACGTGTTTAATGTATCTTCTTTAATCCTGAAGGCTAAGAATTTGTACAGCCATATTACAGATTTGGAAAATGATGTGAAGAGAAGCTAAGGGATTTGCCACTGCCACTCAGCTGCCAAGGATCAGAGGCAGGATTCTAGTCTGTCCCCTTTGTTCCATCACCCCTGCCTCCCCCTGGGCCCAGCCACCATCACCTCTCCTGGGGGGAGCTCCTAATTGTTCTCCCTTCTTCCTCTTGTGCGCTCCTCCAAACTATCTCCAGCCAAAGTGATCTTTAACAATGTAAATCCAGTTATATCACTCTTTCCATTGTAACAGACATTACTTCTACTTCTCAACGTCCATCCTCCAACCATTGTCCAGTGATTCAGGCAGAATTCCCTCCTGCTCAGGAGGTGAGTCGACCCAGTAGTGCCACTGGCTCTGCAACAGGAATTGGTTAGCAGGGCTTTGCATCTCCTTGGCCACAGACGTTGGGCAGGTGTGGAAAAAGGCCATCAGCTAGATGCTCAAGATTGAATTCTGAGATTGTGGGGGTGATGCTCTTGCTCTCATCCCTGTCTGCAGGTAGCCATCCTGTGACCCTGGAAGAAACCAGCCCAAGGAAGGTGCTAACCTACAGAAGAAGGACATGGCCAGGGTAATCACATAGACCCGGAGTTGAAGCCCTGACTGCACCACACCCGAAGCCTCCCCACCTTTCAACCTCTCGGTGATGGTGAACCAATAAACTCTTTTTATTGTTCAAGCCAGTGTGAGTTAGGTTCGCTATAATTTGCTGCAGAAAGTCTCCTGAGTGATTCAGATGCCTGTTGGTGCTCCTGGAATTGCATCCAGATGCCCTACCTTAGTATTAAAGTCTCACTCAACTCTAAGATCAATGAGTGGGGAGGGTGAGGGCTAGATTTTCATTGACCCTGGTGTTGCCAGCCCCTGCTGGACATCAATCTGGCACAAAGCAGACAATGTTAATTTTTTTTTCCTTGAAGGAGTAAACCCAGGTCTCTCTCCAGTGTCTTATCAGCCTCCCAAAGGCGGGGAATCCCACTGGGGTCCCTGATCACCTTCCAGAGCCACCTCTCTGCAATCAGCTGCATTTTGCTAGAATCGGCCTTGCTGTCCACCTTCCCCATCAGCGTCCTCATGGAGACCACCATGAGGGAGGGGCCAGCGGGTCTGAACTTGAGGCTATGTCTAGCAGTGTGTCTGAGCTCCAGGTACCCAGGAGGGGGCCATGGCCGAGTGATGCCCAGGGCACAGGATGGTGCAAGCAAGATGTAAACAAGATGCAAACAAGATGGTGCAAGGAGATGCAAACAAGATGTTTGCAAGGAGATGTTTGCAACAAGATGTTTGCAAAGAGATGTTTGCAACAAGATGTTTGCAAGGAGATGCAAACGAGATGGTGCAAGGAGAGCCTCCAAAACAGCCTGGAATTCACACAAGTAAATGGGAGGGGCCTCAGAGCCACTGTGATTTGGGCAGCAATAAGTATGACCAGCAGGGTGACCAGTGGACCATGAGAAACATCCACATGTGGGTCCAAAGAACATTGCATTCCTTTGTTTATCTAACCCACATCCTCCTTCGTGTCTTAGGGCCTTTGCACTGCCCTTTCCTTGGACTGATTACCCAGTTACTCTACCTCATGACCAACCTCTGTCTTAATTCTCTGCAGAGTGCTTATCAATGGCTGATTGCATTTGTTTGCTTTTGTTTCTCTGTCCATGACAGCAAGGACCTTGATTGTCTTATTTATCACTACTTCTCTCATATCAAAAATCCCTCCATAGTCCTGGCTCAGCAGCTCTTGCCTATAATCCCAGCACTTTGGGAGGCTGGGAAAGGAGGATTGCTTGAGGCTAGGAGTTTGAGACCAGCAACATAGCAAGACCCCATTAAAATAAAATAAAATAAAAATTAGCCAGGTGAGGTGATGTGTGTCTGTAGTCCCAGCTACTGAGTGGGGCTGGGGTGGGAAAACCACTAGAGCCTGGGAGGTTGAGGCTGCAGTAAGCCCTGATCACAACGCTGCATTCCAGCCTGGGTGACAAAGCGAGACCCTATCCCCCCCACCAACAAAAAACAAACAAAAATAAAAACTCCCCCTATAAACACACATTAAATAAATGAACAGCCCTGCCCCCTCCCACTCAGAGGCCCACCCCCTTCAATTGCGAACTTGGTCCCATCAGTCAGGTACCATTCAGATGTGATCTCCACACAGGGGCCTCCACCTCCCTCATCCCGAGTAATCCCTCCTCCCCCAACTCACTTATTTCCTTCATGCCCTTTATGGCAATATAAAATTATCTCATGTATTTGTGTTTACTTGTTCGTTATCTGCTTTCTCCTGTGAATGTAAACTATATCTTTCCTTGTCCCAGGGGAGATCACTTCCAGACTTTAAGTAGGTGCTCAATAACCTTTTGTGGCCGGAATAAACAGCAAGGGAGAAAATGAATCTCCAGGGCTCTGGAAACAGTGGGCATAAGAAGATAAAGAAAGAATCCTAGTTGATTTCAGAGTAATTCTGTGAGGTAAACAGGGTGGTTTTTTCTACCATGGCTGTTGAGAGATGAGGAAGGCAAAGTTTACAATGTTGTGACCTCATCAAAATAGCTTGTCTGGTGAAGTGCACATTTGAACTTGAGTCTGATTCCTTTTCCAGTTCCTTTTCTTCTGAATCATGCAGCTTTCCTGTTCAAACTCATCTGCATAGATACTAAAAGTATCAGCAATCTCCTCTCTGCAAATCGCTCCAAATTCTCGCAAGGTGGAGCCCGGCTGTTTGAGAAGCCATCACTGAATCTCCTGATGTGTTGACCCTCACAGTGCTGCAGTTATATCGCTTTCATGAGGCACCAGCAACCAATAGCAGCTTGGCATTGTAAAAGTTTCTCCGTGCCTTCATGCTACAGCCAGGCCTCTGGTTTCTCTCTTTCTCTCAATTATTACCTTAACCATGCCCTGGAGACCTAAGGAGCCGGTTTATTTTGACTGGGAGATTGTTAAACTGCAGGAGGCAAACCAGAGACAGTGCCAGGCTGTGATTTCCATTGCTCCACATGGCCAGGGGGTGCTGAGAATAGCCAAGGCCGCTTCCTGCTGGAGGAGGAAATGGCAGTTTCCTCAACTCCAGGAAACCTTACTTCCTCTCTGGTGCCTAGCTCCGTGTTAACCAATTAGACAGCTTCTTCCCACCCCAGACCCCAGAGACCTGGCCCAAGCCTGGAGAAGACATCCTGTTTCCCCTGAGGAAGTGGCCCAGATTGAAGGAGCCACTAGGGTATTTGAGGGGGGAGTGAGTAGGAAATAGGGCAGGAAGGGGCTGACAAGTAGTAATAACAGTGGTATCCAGTGTCCGCTAAGAACCGCGCCCCCACTGCCACCCCCACTGCTTTGTCCTGACCCTTGGAGATCTCAATAAACTTGGCAAACTCTTACTGGCCTTTGGAGTCCAAAGTCTTCCCATGATCCCATCTCATCCTCAAGCTGGCTCCTCCATCCACCATCTCTCTTCTGTATACCATCCCAGTCCAAAAAACAATGCCGGCCCTTTCTTGGTTTCTACAGAAAACAGGCTCACACCACACATTCCAGGAGTTTAGAAACGTTGCTGAGCACTAAATGGGCACCAGGCACCATCACATTGCCTGGCAAATATCCTCATGGAGACAGCTCTGGAGCCAGACTTCCTGGGTTCGAATCCTGCTTCATATCCTCTGTCCCCAGCTAGCTATGCCTTGTCAGGTGCGTCATTTAACTCCTCTGGGTCTCAGTTTTTCCTCTATTTCCCTCTATCTATGGGAATAGTGGTAACTAGCCCTTCAGGGTTATAGGAATATGCAATGAGACAAAGCCCTGGGCTTGTAGCTCAGTACTCAGTGATGGCCATTATTGTTTTACTCTGCTTCCTCCTCCGTTTCAGAAGCAGGGAAAAAAAACCCACAAAACCCTTTCCTTGTCTCTTGAAGAATAATAGTACCCTTTCAGGGGAAGGGTACTAATGAAATAATTTATTATCTCATTTTTTAAAATAAACTTCATATCTTAGAATAGTTTTAGACTCACAGGAAAAATTGCAGAGGTAACAGAGAATTCCCAGATACTTCACACCCAGTTTCCCCAAATCTTAACATCGTGTGTGAATGCGGTACATTAGTTAAAATTAATGAACCAATATTAATATACTATAATTAACTAAAGCCCATGGTTCCTCCTTAGGTTTTACATAATGTCTTTCTTTCTCTCTTTCTTTTCTTTTCTTTTCTTTTCTTTTCTCTTCTCTTCTCTTTTCCTTTCTTTTTCTTTCTTTCTCTCTCTCTCCTTCCTTCCTTCCTTCCTTTTTGAGACGAAGTCTCCCTCTGTCACACAGGCTGGAGTGCAGTGGTACAATCTCAGCTTACCGCAACCTCCGCCTCCCAGGTTCAAGCAATTCTCCTGCCTTAGCCTCTCGAGTAGCTGGGATTACACCGCCACCATGCCCAGCTAATTTTGTGTATTTCTACTAGAGATGGGGTTTCACCATGTTGGTCAGGCTGGTCTCAAACTCCTGACCTCAGGTGATCCACCGCCTCGGACTTCCAAAGTGCTGGGATTATAGGAGTGATTTCTCTTCCCAGATCCCACCCAAGATACCACATTATATTTAGTCATTAAGTCTCTTCAGGATCCTCTGGCCTGTGACAGCTCCTTGTTTTCATGACCTTGACAGTTTTGTGGAGTATTGGCCAGGTGTTATGAAGAGTGTCTCTCAATTAGGTTTTGTCTCATGTTTTTCTTTTGACTAGATAGACTGGGTCTGGGGCTGAAATGAAGAACACCACAGAGGTGACATTTTGGTACATACTATAGACATGACTTATCACTGCTTATGTTGACCTGATTACCTGGCTTAGGTCATGTTTGTCAGGTTTCTCCACTAACGTTACTTTTTTTTTCCTCCGTCTATACCGTATTCTTTGGAAGGAGGTCACTATGCACAACACACATTTAAGGATTAGGGAGTTATACTCCATCTCCCACAGGGTAGAATATCTATGTAAATGATTTGAAATTCTGCTGCACAAAAAAATTGTATACTCTCCCCTATTAGTCTCTTTAATTATCTATTTATATCAGTATGGACTCATAGGTATTTATTTTATACTTTGTATTATAATGCTACATTACTACTACTACTATTATTATTATTATTATTATTATTATTATTATTATTATTATTTGGAGACAAGGTCTTGCTCTGTAGCCCAGGCTAGAGTTCAGTGGTGCGATCTCAGCTCACTGCAATCTCTGCTTTCTGGGCTCAAGCAATCCTCCCATCTCAGCTCTGCCAAGTAGCTGGGACTACAGGGATACACCATGATGCTCAGCTAATTTTTAAATTTTTTGTAGAGATGAGGTCTCACTATATTGCCCAGGCTAGTATCAATCTCCTGGGTTCAAGCCATCCTCCTGCCTTGGCCTCCTGAAGTGCTGGGATTACAGGCGTGAGCCACCATGCCCAGCTACCTTATTTATTTTGTTGTTCAAATGTTCCAGCTTTGGCAATTGGGAGCTCTTTCAATTAGTTATTCCATCACATTGATACACCCATATCATTGCTTTTGTTTTGCTTTGCTTTTGAGAAATTTCTAACTTTCTGGTACTAGGAGATGCTCTAGGATCGTCTTATAAACGTCTGGCCCCAGTCATAGATTCAGCCATTTCTCCAAGGATTGCTGGTTTCTTGTACTGCACCATAGTACTGAAAACCAAAATATGGATTCTAGGTATACTTGCAGCTACTGAGATGCCATTGCTTCTAGGCTCTCTCAGCTGACAGAACCAGGAAATATATATGTGTGTATACTAACCTGTGTATATATCCATGTCTATACATTTTCTATATATAAACATCTGTATCTATATTAAGCTAAACATGATTCACACTGTACCTCCAACTCGAACCCATTATCATGTAGATCATTCTAGCTTCCTCCTCTTGCTTATCTATGCACTCCCCTCTAAGAGTAAAAAACCTGGCTTCCACCATCCACCATCTTTGCATTTATTTGTTCAGTCCCAGCATACCTGTACAGCAGTATCATAATTGTTAACCCATATCCCACAGGAAACAACTTTTCAACTAGAGTGCAGTACTTATATACAGTTTCTTTTGCCTTTAATTTTATAGACTCTATTTCCAAAATTACTTAGGTCCACAACAATTTCATCCACCCCATCGCTGTGGTTGTTTTATACATTTGTGATACAATTAGATTGTTTTATCACTTTATGCATCTGGTCCTGGGTTCCCTTGACATCCTGAATGGTTATTTATTTATTTATTTATTTATTTATTTTGAGACAGAGTTTCGCTCTGGTTGCCCAGACTGGAGTGCAATGGCGCGATCTCAGCTCACCGCAAACTCTACCTCCTGGGTTCAAGCAATTCTCTTGCCTCAGCCTCCCGGGTAGCTGGGATTATAGGCGCATGCCACCATGCCCAGCTAATTTTGTATTTTTAGTAGACATGGGGTTTCTCCATGTTGGTCAGGCTGGTCTCAAACTCCTGACCTCAGGTGATCCACCCACCTCAGCCTCCCAAAGTGCTGAGATTATAGGCATGAGTCACCGCGCCCAGCCCTAAATGGTTTTTTAAATTCATTTGAATACAAAAGGTTCACTGTGTGCTGTGAAGTTCTATAAGTTTTCATAAATGCCTGTTGTCATATATCCACAATTGCAGTATCATGCATAATGATTTCACCACTCTAAAAGATTCCCTGTACCTCATCTGTTCAGTACTCCCCCGAATCCCTGACAACTGCTTATCTTTTTTTTTTTTTTTTTTTTTTTTTTTTTTTTGAGACGGAGTCTCGCTCTGTCGCCCAGGCTGGAGTGCAGTGGCGGGATCTCGGCTCACTGCAAGCTCCGCCTCCCGGGTTCACGCCATTCTCCTGCCTCAGCCTCCCAAGTAGCTGGGACTACAGGCGCCCGCCACTACGCCCGGCTAATTTTTTGTATTTTTAGTAGAGACGGGGTTTCACCGTTTTAGCCGGGATGGTCTCGATCTCCTGACCTCGTGATCCGCCCGCCTCGGCCTCCCAAAGTGCTGGGATTACAGGCGTGAGCCACCGCGCCCGGCCTATCTTTTTACTCCCATTACAGTTTTGCTGTTTCTAGAATGGCATACACTTGGAATTGTACACTATGCAGCCTTTTCAGACTCTTTCTTCATTTAGCAATACACATTTAAGATTCATTCATATCCTCTCACAGCTTGATAGCACCTTATGTTTTGAATCATGAAATAGTATTCCATTGTGTATATGTACCACCATTTGTCCACCAATTCACTTATTGAAGGACATTTTGTTTCGTTGTTTTGTTTTGTTTCAGTTTTTGGCAATTATTAAAATAAAGCTGCTATAAACAATAGTGTGCAAGTTTTTGTTTGAACATTCGTTTTCAAATCAGTTGGATAAATACCTAGGAGTATATTGCTAGATCATAGAGAAGGATTAGATTTAGCTTTGTAAGAAACTGCCACACTGTTTTCTCAAGTGGCTATACCATTTTGCATTCCCACAAGCAATGAATGAAAGTTCCTATTGCTCCACATCCTCATCAGCATTGAGTATTGTCAGTGTTTTGGATTTTGGCCATTCTAATAGGTGTGTAGTGATATCTTGTGGTTGTTTTAACTTGCAATTCCCTAACGACAAATTATGTTGATCAACTTTTCACATGATTGTTTCCCTTCTGTACATCTTATTTGGTGAGGTGTCTGATTGCACCTTTTGCTCACTTTTTAATTGGATTGTTTGTTTTCTTATTGTTGGGTTGATATGTCTTTTGTATATATTGGATATAAGTCCTTTCTCAGACATGTGTTTTGCAAATATTTTCTCCCATTCTATGGCTTGCCTTTTGACTGTCTCAATAGTGTCTTTCACAAAGCAGAATTTTTTAATGTTAATGAAATCCAAGTTACCAGCTTTTTCTCTCATGCCTTGTACCTTTGGTGTTGTAGCTAATGGCTTATCAGCAAACCTTGAATGATTTTAAATACATTATCTTATGGAATTATTATACCACTGCTCTTGGGCAGGGGATGTCATTTTCATTTCATAGAAGAAACAGCTTTCTGTCACATTTATCTCTGCAGGACCTTGAAACAGGGAAAAAGAGAGAATGGGTAAGCACCAAGAGAGAATATATAGGCAAAAGTAGGCCAAGGCAAACATTAAGAGGCTTCAAAGCTCCCTGTTCAGCCTTAAAATTCATGAGCATTTGACTATCTCTTCCACTAAATAGCTGTATTTGTTTGAATGTAAATATTATATTATTATTGCCAAGGTACACACACACACACACAACCACCACCACCACCACCAATGTTTTGATAAAACTGGTGCTTCATTAGCAAATGCCATGTTTATTGATTGAGTGACTTTATATCCTCCAGCAGTGACACACTTCTCTCAGGAATATTTTTACCTCAGTTTGGAAAGCAAACTAGACTGAAGGAAAGGGCAAGGTTGAGCACCTTGTCAAATGTCACACAGCTAGCAAGTGGCCGACCCAGGATTTGAGTCCTGAGTAAGTACAGTATATCTGCCAGCATACAGTGTCTGTGTCCTTGACCAGACACAGCCTGGCTCAGGGAGGCTGACACCATCTCCATTTCAAGGAGGCACACTTCTCCCTTCACCATTGACCTGGCCTTCCTCTGGCCTTCACAGCCCCTAGCGTCATACCATATCATTTAGGCTTCCCTCTCTCTTCAAAGCATGAATTAGGAAAGGGGGGAAAGCAACCCCAGGATCTGTCTGTCACGAATGTGGGAAAGAACCAGCCCTAGGGGGATGATAAAGACCTTGAAAAAAACAAACAAAAAAAAAAACGATTTTTCTTTATAATAAAAAACTTTTTATACTCAAACAATTTTTTGCTGAAATAACAATGCACATCACAAAACCTATTGAGGGAATGTATAATTATGCCAAATTAAACTGTAGAAGCGTCTCCCTGGCCATGAGAACCATTTATTTCTTGGTTCAGTTGTGTTCGATGGCTGGGGCTGGAGTAGCCACTGTTCTAAAAGAAGGAGCTTCTTGAGAGAAAGAGGTCATTCTCTCAGAGGAATGGCCTTTGCCCTCCAGAGCTGGGATCTGACTGGCTCCTCTAGAAAAAGTGGGAGCTGCAGGCATGTCTCTGTGAGCACCTGACCACAGAGCCTAGCACTGGGCCAAGCAGTCTCTTTGCCCCCACCCATCTCATCTGGATTGTATGCATTCAGCAAACATGCCCATGTATTGGGCATGAACCCCCCAACTCTACCCTCCTCCTAAGGGCTCAGTGGCCTTAGAAGTGTTCCGTTTGTCCCACATGCTGTCCTGGAGTCCAAGCCCTAAATTCAAGTCTCTTCTGCAATGATTAATTCTGTGATCTTGCTTGACATCTCTGCACCACTTTCCTCCCATCCATCTGTGAAACACGAGAGAGGGGCTTCCAGGTGGGCATGGAACAGGATGCTTTCACCTACATCATTTTAAGGAGATTGCTATTCTAGCAGAAAAAAATGACAAGGAAGTGACTATATCATCAAGACGAGTCTTTGAAGCTTACTGCAAAATCTTCATGTCCTTTGGCGGTGAATGTTTCCTCTCAAATGTATGTAAATTTGCTATGCTATGCACAATGTGCTAACTCAGTCAGTGTGGATGCCCTTTCCTTCCCTTTTTTTGCAACTGCTTCAGAGAACCCCACCCACTTTTGTATGCCTCACTGCCTGGGACAAGGCAGCTTTACCCTGTGCCCCATTTAAGCCCTGAATCTCAATGCATCTTCAGGGAAACCTTCAGAGTGACTGCTGCCATTCACTTTTCAAAGACCCCAAAATGGGGCTCCAAGCCTCAGTCCAATCAGCGTAACTAAGGGAAGGAGCTGGAACAACAAGGATTGTGGGAGATTAACCAGCTCTCCCACTGAGAGGCCAGGCAACCTATGTTACTAAATCCTTCTACCGGATTAAGCCAGAGCCCACAGATCACCCACAGGCTTGAACAGATGTGACACAACGGGGCACTTTCTGGGCCTTGGTCCAAGGAAAGAGCTAAAAGTAGATGGTGCATGGGCACAAGGCACTTGTCACTCTCTCCCTTGTAGAGGCAGTGGGCCGTCTCAGAAAGAACATGAGTCAAAAGACCTGGTTAGCCCAGCTTGGCCATGTGCCAGCTGTTTGACCTTGAGTGAGTCACTTCACTGCTCTGGGCCTCTGTTCCTTCAATGGAAAAATGGAGCTCATCATATGGATTTCACAGTCATGAAGGATTCTGAAATAATCAATCCAAATTTTATTTCTTCAAAGACCATCAAAATGAAACATGAATGGGATTGTCTCTGGCAGGATAAAGGCCTGGCTTTAAGGATGAAACATGTCTGTGGCTTCCCTAACTCCTCCCCTCCTTCCTCAGTGCTCCTCGGTGCCTTTCACATGCTTCCCCCATAACACTCTGCTTCAGGAGTTCCTCTCCTATAATTCGGCTTCTCGGAAACAGGGATTCTGCAACATTTATCTCTGCTTTCCCACACCTGGCCACACATGGGTTCCTAAATATGTATATCCAACTAAATGCACTTTGTAAATGATGCAACCCTCTGATGATTATCTACAGTCTAGGAGGGGAAATGGAACATATCCATAGATATTAACATATCTGTCAATATTAGCATATCAATGAGCATATCTATCAAAATATTCCATTTTCCCTCCTAGACTGTAGATACTTTGAGAGCAGGGGTCAGACCTACTTTATCCATGTATCTACCACAGCGCCAAACTAGACACACAGGTAATGTTCAGTCAGTATATGTGGAAAGCAAGGAGAAAGATGGGTATGTGAAAAGCAAGGAGAAAGATCTGAAGGGGAGAGAAAGAAATAGAAACTCCCCCTCCCCAACAGCAGCAGCTAACCCAGCCAGTTCACCTACCCACTCAGCCACTGGGCAGACCCATACTCTCACTCCTCTTCCTGAGACCAGAATTGAGATTGTTTTTAGTCTTCCTGGCCCAAAACTACAAAATCCACAAGGGCCAGCTATAATTTTTCTTTCCACCAAGATTTTCCTGTATGATGTCTAAAGACTCAACAGTCACCCAAAGGTTCTGATTGCAACGGATCGTCAGGGTTACAGATCCCCTGTAGAATTTCTCTACTAAGATGGGTGAGAAGAAATCATCTTCCATTTGTTTGCCCTAGACACAATGCTGTTTTCAACCCGTTTCTTTGCCCATGTTGTCTCCTTTTGTCTAAGATGCCTTTTTGCAACCTCCAAACCATATCGTCACACTCTACAATTCCTCCCACCATCATGCTGACGGCAGCCAATTTGCCCAGCAGACTCATACTTACCCTTCAAGATGCAACTGAAATGGAACCTCACTAGCATAGGAGGTGGTCTGCACAGGGGGCATACAGAACAGTTGCTAGGAGCCCTGACATTAGAGTTAAATCTCAACACTAGCCCATACAAGTTCTAAGACCTTGGGAAAGTCACTGCCCATTTCTGAGTCTCAGTTTGCCCATCTGTAAAATGGACAGGATAGCAAGCACCTTCTTCATAGGGTTGTTATTAGGAGTAAATTGGAGAAATGAATGTAAAGGGCTTGGCAGAGTACTTGGCACATAGAAAGCTGTGAATAAATGGCAGCTGTAGGTGGGTATGAAATATTCCTTGTCTCCCAGATTGGATTAGGCACCCCTGCTCCCTACCCCCATGGCACCCTGTGCTTACTCCTGTAGTGGCCATTTATCGAACTGTTTTCATATCTGCTTATACTTGTGACCCTAAGCTATGGGGAACTCACAGGCAGGAACTCTCTCTGTCTCATTATCCCCATGGTCCAGTACTAGGGCTGTTTATTGCATGAGTGAATGAATTAGTGGAATGAATAAATACATGAATAAATAGAGTGGATGAATATATCTCTAGGCTACATGGAGAGCAGTGCTTACTCTAAGCTCCACCAGGGCTGGAGATGGGGCTGCCAGAGTGGCTTAGGTCTGAACCATGCCTAGGATGCCACAGGAAGCCCATGAGGCCAAAGACCAGTGGGGACAGTGGGACTTAAAGGTAAATTTTTGTTATGGCTGAGCTTGCCCCTGTCACCCTCTCCCAAGGCCTGCCAGGTGACTAACAATCAATAAGTATTTGGTTGGAATTCAGAGATGCATTCATTCATCCAACTAATATGTATTGAGCCAGACAATGTTCCAGGAAATAGGGCATAACCATGGATAAGATGGGTGTATTTCCAAGAGAGATGAAAGAAAGTGGTTGGGTGTGGTGGCTCACACCTGTAATCCCAGCACTCTGGGAGGCCGAGGCAGGCAGATCACAAGGTCGGGAGTTTGAGACCAGCCTGGTCAACATGGTAAAACCCTGTCTCTACTAAAAATACAAAAATTAGTTGGGTGTGGTGGTGGGTGCCTGTAATCCCAGCTACTCGGGAGGCAGGAGAATGGCTTGAACTCAGGAAGCAGAGGTTGCAGTGAGCCGAGATCGTGCCACTGCACTCCTGCCTGGGTAACAGAGCAAGGCTCCATCTCAAAAAGAAAAAGAAAAAGAAAACAGAAAGAAAGAAATAAAATATGATTCCCTTTTGGATTATATGATGAGAGGTAACACAGGCCAATATCACCTATGGCTGTGGAAGTTGGAAGAGAAAAGAGGAGCAACAGACAGGGAGTCAGGAAACCCAGATTCTTATTTTTGCTGTCAGCACAGTCATCTCAACCAAGTCACTTGGCCTCTCTCTGCCCCTGGGACACATGACTTATACAGGGATGACCTATCTGCCCTACCCACCACAAGACCAGATATTCAAACTGAGGATGATTGTAGAAAATGCTCTGGAGTTATGGAAAGAGGACAACTTTTTGGCTCTGTGAACTGAGATACATCATTCATATCTCCAAAGCTCTACTTATTCAACTGTTAAATGGGGATAGCCATACACGCTTGGTCTACTTTGCAGAGTCACTGGAGGTCTTAACCTAGACCTTAGAAGGAAAAAAGGCTTTGTAAGAAATAAAGAACACTGACAGTGTAACTGTCTGGTGTAGACCTGTAGTTAATCTACTCACCCCTCAATTTCAAAGACTGGCTCTTCCTCAGGTGATTCACTTAGCCTCTCTGATCCTCAGAGTCCTCATCTGAAAAATGGGGATAATAATCATAGCCTAGCACACTCTGTAGTGTTGTGAGAATTGTATGAAATAATAGATATGGAAACCTTTGTCAATGTTACCATGCTATATAAAGTAAATATGAGGGGTGATATGGTTTTGATCTGTGTTCCCACCCAAGTCTCATGTTGAAATGTAATCCCCAGTGCTGGAGGTGGGGCCTGGTGGAAGATGATTAGATCATGGAGGCAGTTTCTCATGGTTTAACCCATCTCCCCTCACCTCCCCACCACCCACCCATGTCGTCACCATGACAGTAAGATCTCATGAGATCTGGTTGTTTTAAACTGTGTGGCACCGCCCCCTCACTGTCTTCCTCACACTCCAGCCAGGTAAGATGCCTTCTCTCGCTTTGCCTTCCACCATGGATTGGAAGCTTCCTGATGCCTCCCCAGAAGCAGAAGCCACTATGTTTCCTGTACAGCCTGCAGAACCATGAGCCAACTAAACTTCTTTTCTTTATTTTTTATTATCATTTTTTTCAGATGGGGTTCGCTCTGTTGCCCAGGCTGGAGTGCAGCCTCCACCTCTCGGGTTCAAGAAATTCTCCCACCTCAGCCTCCCAAGTAGCTGGGATTACAGGCACCGACCATCATGCCTGGCTATTTTTGGATTTTTAGTAGAGATGGGGTTTCACCATATTGGCCACGCTGGTCTCAAACCCCTGACCTCAGGTGATCCACCCACCTTGGCCTCCCAAAGTGCTGAGATTACAGGCATGAGCCACCAAGCCTGGCATAAACTTCTTTACTTTATAAATGAACAAGTCTCAGGTATTTCTTTATAGCATGTGAGAACGGACTAATATAGGAGTGATTGTTTATGTCATCATGAAGAATTATGCTCACCATAGTAGATTTGGACTGAAACTCATGTATCTGACTCCCCATGGAGAAAGAAAGGTGCTGTGGTCTGAGTGCTTCTGTGCCTCCAGATTTCACATGTTGAAACTTAATCCCCAGTACAGTGGTGTTGGCAGATGGGATATCTGAGAGGTAATTAGGTCATGAGGGAGGAGCCCTCGTAAGTGGGATTAGTGCCCACATAAAAGAGGCCTAAGAGAGCTTGTTTGCCCCTTCTGTCATGTGAGGATTCAGCAAGAAGCCACTATCTATGAAGAACAGGCCTTCACCAGTCACTGAATCTATCTGTGCTTTGATCTTAGATTTCGCAGCTTCCAGACTATAAGCAATAAATTTCTGTTGTTTATAAATTGCCAAGCCTAAGGTATTTTGTTATAGCAGCCTAAATGTAGGGAGGCAAACGGAAAGAACAATTAAGATGGTCTCCATTTATCCCAAATACATGTGGAATCTCACTTGATTCTTGAGGTGACCCATGTATTAAGCAGGAAACAAATTTCTTTCACCATGAGAGAGGAAGGTAGGAGAAAAGATTCTAGGCTGACACTGTCATACCCACAGTGTGACCTTGGGCAATTTGCTTTTTCTCTGTGAGCCTCATTCTTCCCATATGTCAAATATGGAGCTTAGATTCTAGGTAAGTTAGGCTGCTTATGGCTGCATAAATAAATAAATAATAACCAATAATAATATCTATTATTTCACATAGCTAGTAGTCCAGATGGAGGGGTCCCACGTTGGGTATTGCAGTGTCTCAAAGGTGTCAGGGTCACACACCACTTTCAGTGTGATTCTTTGATGTGTCAAGATGGCTCCTAAGGCTCCAGACTTCACACCCTCACAGTAATGCCCAAAGGCAAGAGGAGGGAAGTGTTGGTCTTGGACTTCTCCTTAAGAAAAGAATAAGGAAAACTTTCCCAAATGTGCCCCTGGTATTTCATGGTGGTGGGGGAGGTGCTGAGGCAAGAAAGGAACCACAGGCCTCTACCTAAACAAATCAGAGAAAGAGAAAACGAATTACAACAAACAGCAGCAGAATCAGTGTTCTGATAAGCAAAAATGTGAAACAGCTGTTGGGTAGGCAACCCTCAGTGTCTAACACAGACTCCATCTAGGTTCTCTAAAATCCATTCAAGCCTCAAAGTGCAATGAGCTGAGATCAGCCGAAAAAGTCATAGACCATCATGGGAGGAACTGAGACACGAACCCCTTCTTCCCACACCCACAGTGTCCAAGTTCTACCCTGTTCCTATTGGATACAGCAGGGTCTTAGGTGGTGCTGATGAATGATCCAGGAGCTCCACAGCTGTGAATCATTCTCAGACCTGCAGGACACCCACTCAGCCAGGCTCCACTGCTGGCAGCTTTCTGGATTGTATTTCTAAAAACAGCCTCGGGCCAATCACACCTATAATCCAGCACTTTGGGAGGCCAAGGTGAAGGAACACTTGAGGCCAGAAATTCCAAACCAGCCTGGGCAACATAGTAGACCCCATCTCTATGAAAAAATAATAAATTCATTGGTTGTGGTGGTGTGCACCTATAGACTCAGCTACTTAAGAGGCTATGGAGGGAAAATCGCTCAAGCCCAGGAGCTGAAGGCTGTGGTGAGCTATGATCATGCCACTGCCCTCTAGCCTGAGTGACAGAATGAGAGTTGGCCTCTTTAAAAAACAACAACAACAAAGTCTCAAAGTGAGCAATCCAGGACTCCATGGTCTTTAGGAAACTGAGTTATTTCTGTCTTTCAGCTTCTCCATCCTCAGCACAGGTCCACCTTCAAGATTACCTCATGATCCAAGATTGAATCTATGACTTTATCACTGTGCCATGTTCTAAAAGGAAGAGAGAAGAGAAGAGAACAGAAGAGAAGAAAGAAGAAAGGAGGGAGGGAGGGAGGGAGGGAGGGTGGGAGGGAGAGAGGGAGGGAGGGAGGGAAAGAAGGAAGGAAGGAAGGAAGGGTCTGCTGTATCTGCCATCTCCCCAACACCCTCTTTCTCAAGGTGGTTTCACCAACATTCCACCCCAAAACTTTTTATATCTCATTGGCCAGAACTTAATCCCAGTACCATACCTTGCTGCTAAGGAGGCTAAGAAATGTGCTTCTTAAACTGAACACACTGCAAGCCCCAATTCATTTACATTAGTAAGCAAGAAGAGAATGAATATTGGCAGGCAGCTACCAATCTCAGCTACAATTCTAGGGCTGATACAGAACAACATGAGTTCTGGATGAAAGATCCGGGTGGTTGAGCATTACAAAGTGTTGGGGGACAAGGGACGTTAGTTGCTGTTGTTGCTTATTTCATTTCGCTTTGGCTGGCTTTCATCTGGCTACTTTTGGGACTTTGCTCACATCATTTCACCTCTGTGAATTTCATCAGGCTAATATGGAGGGTGGGACTACTAGATCAACTGTGGTAAAAAGAATCTAAGGACAAGATACAGTCCTTCATTTGTCCATTCGTTCATTCAACAAGAATCTACTGAGGCACCTTCTGTATGCCAAGTGCTGTCATAGGCAGAGAATTCAGAGATTCATACAAACCCTGCCTCTGGGAGTTTGTACTCCATTGAAACAAGCCCAGGAAAACATCCATTATAAGAGATGGTGCTAAATTCTATATTAAGGATAAACACAAAGAAATTGGAGGTTGGAAAAGGAGCACCTAACACAGGCAGAGATCCTCAAAGCCATCTTCAGATTGCTTAAAAGATGAACAGGAACTTGTGGGTAGAGGAGGTTGGAAAGTACAAGAAGGAGATCAGCATGTGAATAGGGATGAACCCATGAAAGAGCATATCACGTTCCGGAAATATTCTCCACCCAACACTGATCCCCAGGTAGAGGCTCTGGTTTCTGAGCTTTTTCTACTGGCTTGTATTGTTTATTCTGTTCTTTTGAACTCAAGCAGATCTGGGATTGGATCCACCACCTAAGAATGTGAACTCAAGCAAAGGGCTTCATCTCTCTGAGCTTCGGTGACTTTGTCTATAAATCCCCTCAGCCACTGGCGGTAAAGACTAAATGGGACCTCATGTATCAACATGCCTAGCATGATCCTAACACACCAGGAGCTTTCAATGCTCCCTCCCTTCCCCGATGGCCCAGAAAGGCCCAGAAAGCCTAATTCCTTTCAGGGAACCAGAGAGACGAGACAGCACAGGTATAGGGCTTAAGGAGGGCAAGAGTGATTTCTGTGTTGGTGGTGTTTTTAAATGCTAACTGGAACAGGAAAAAAAAAATCAGGTGAGAGAGAAACCACAATGCCTGCCAAGGAGTAGCCTGCATTGTTCGCCCCTGGAAAAGCTGCTGGCTTAGGGCTTTTAAAGCTGGGGAAAGGTCAACCCCTCGCAAAAGAACAAACTGCATGGCCCTGTGACTTCCCTCCTCTAATTCCCATAACTCCCTGTGCTGGTTGCCTCCTCTGGAACGTGGGAAGGTGATCCCTGCCCTGCCAGGGCTGTTTGGGCTGTGTGCTTGTGCTTGCAGGGCTTTGTGGATTGGAAAGTGTAGGCAACCTGATGAAGAGGGTTGTTTCTGTGTGCTTAGCTCTGCCAGCCTGGCCTCCTGACCTCCCATGCTGTTTGCTCAGCGCTACCCATGTACCTTCCCTCAGGTCCTCCTCTACCCACTGCTCCCCCTTCTTGATTTCACCTTCCAAATCCTCCCATCCTTGATAACTGCATTTCCAAGAAGCCCCTGCTGGTGATGTCGGTCTGCACTGACCTCATGCCCTCAAGATGTCTTCAGACTGGATGGCACCATGAGAGTCGCTTTCTTTCTTCTGTGTTTTGTTTTCTTTTCCTGTTGTTTTTTTCTCACCTCTCTCAGCAAGGACCACCTGGTCTCCCACTTCCCCCATATTATCATTCTCAGAGGGCCTCCCCCAATCTGCCCTCACCCCCACCTGTTCCGAATCTAGCCACACTTTCATGCCCCAGTCAAGGCCACTCCATCTGTGTGCACCAACCTGACAATTTCAGTTCCCCAAATGTGCCATGCTCTAGCTTTCCTTCCTCATCTTCCTACTTCAGGTCTCAGTTTAGATGTCACCTCCTTGATCCTCACCTCCAATTCCGCTCAGATGAGGTGCCACTGCTATGAGTTCCCTTGACACCCTGTGTTTCCCCCATGACTGCACTGATTCCTGCTGAAATTAACCAGTCTATGCCTTTCTCCGGCTCTTGCAAGAAACTGTATGTGAGCCAGGGCTTGTCTCTCCCATTCTTTAGAGAGAGATCCCCAGCACTCAGGACAGTGCCTCCCCAGGGCAGCTGCATGAATGGCCTACCGTGGATTATCCTACTCTCTACTGCTTCACCCAGCACCGAACTCATAACAAATGCACAACAGACATTATCATGGACCCATTCTGTCCACAAGCATTTATCCAGTGCCTGCTATGTGTCAGGCCCTGGCCTGGGATAGAATGATAAATAAGACTAAAGTTCCTACTCTCAAGAAGATTCCAGGCTAAAAGAGGCAAGAAACAACTGCAGTATAGGGGATGAAGCCATGAGTAGAGATACAACCTTATTGCTGTAGAAGTACAGGGAAGGAAGCTAAAACTTCATTTAGGAGTATCAAGGAAGGCTTCTCAGAGGAGGTGGCAGTTGATAGGTTCTTTTAGAAAAGGAGTTTTCCAGGTTTAGAAAAGAGGACTGGGGTTGCCAAGGTAGAAGTAGCAGCACGTGCAAAGGTAGGAAAAGAAGAAAAGGACCACTGCATTAGGGGAAGGATGAGAAGCTTGTGGCACGAGATAAGGAGTCCAAGAGGGGAATGTAAACCATGAGGCTGGGGACGAAAGCAGAGCCCAACTGGTAAGGCAGTGGGAAGCCAGGGAGATATTTGAGCACGTGAGTCATGTCTCCAAGTTTGAGTTTTAGAATGTTGACTCTGAGCATGGTATAATCTCATTTCTTATCTTTCCGTCTCACAAGCTCCACCCACCATTCTTTCTTTCTTCCTACACACCAGTAGTTCCCAAAGTGTGGCCCTAAACCAACAGCATCACATCATATGAGATCTTGTTAAAAATGCAAATTCTCCAGCCCCATCCTTGGCCCCATGGAATCTGAAAGACCAGGGTGGGGCCAGCGATCTGTACTTTAACTAACCCTCCAGGTGATGCCAATATACGTCAAATTCAAGAACCACTGTGCCTGACAATCTATCTTCTAAGAAGGGAAAGGACAAAATACCAATGTGCTTCCTTCAGCTCCAGAGTTCTCCTGAAACACACCCACTATGAAGCTCCCCCATCAGGGTGTACTTACTCTTTCCTCCAGTAAACTTTAAACAGCACCTACTGCATAGAAACCAGAGGCAGAAGTGTTCTTCCCCAGTTCATTCTTTAATTCATCCACTGATATGTCTGTAGCCCATGCAAGGTATGTTTCACGCTTGACCTCAGACACACCTGATTTGAATCCCAGCCCCACCGTTCTTTGCCAAGAATGAAAACGTGGTGGGACCAGGACTCCCATGGAGAAGTGAGGAGAGCAGAGGGGATCAGTACCCAGTTCTGCCTGCAGGAGGTGGGCAGGTCTGGCGGGCCCCTCTCTAGGTGTGTATGGTTCCATCCCCCTGCACAGGGTTCCTGCAGATGGGGCTCCCAGCTGTGCAGGGAAGGGCATGGGGTAGGGGCACTCCCACAAGCACAAATGACATATGTTTCGTATTATATGCACATTCTTTGTGGGAGCCCCAGTGAAAAATACACATGGCTAACCATCCCTTTCTCAGAAGGAGGGGCCCCAGGAAAGGAGATTTTGACTGCTGGCTTTATCAAGAGTCAGAAAGAGTGAACACTCTGAGTCTGTTAGAAAAACAAACTGACTGTGCTTGGGCTTTTAATTTTAAGGATCAGGAGAAGGTCTGGATGTCAGCGGATACCTTGAAGAGCCCACCTGGGTCTCAAGACAGTGGTGGAAAGTGCAAGAGATTTGGCATCTACCCAGCTCCCTGACTTCCTTGCTGTGTGGCATTAAGAGATCCACCGGGTTCGCTGACCTTCCATTTCCTCATCTCTAATCTGAGGATAAAAGCATTTCAACTCACAGGGCAAGCATCATGGCATTTGCAAGAGTTCTTTGTTAAACATATTACATACAAGGGACTCTTTATTACATTTTAAAAATTCAGAGGGAAATATTGATCAAAAAATTATCTAGCAGCATGATACATAAGGAAGAATATGGATTTAAAGTCATACTGAACTAAATATAGATCTCACCTTCACCACTCCTAGCTGTGTGGCCTCAGGCAAGTTACTTGACTTCTCTGAACCTCAGCTTTCTCATCTGCAAAATTGGGGTAGAAGTACCCCCCACCCATTAGGGTTGCTGCAAGGCCTAACTCTGATACCCTCTGTAAATGCCCCTGGCTCGTACAAAGTACTGGATATAGGTGAGTAACTCAGCCCAGGGGTGCCCAGAGCAGCATGGCCCACACAATCCAGATTTGGGGATGATCCAAGAGCCAGCTCTGCTCTGCACATCCCCTAGCTTGAGGGAAGAGGCTGCCTCCTCCCCTGACACTCCTCTGAAAGCTATTCTTCAGGCTCACAGCTCTGGCAGCCTCCCCTCTGCCTCCATCAAGTTACAGACCCATTTGTTTTCCCCTCACAAAGCCCTGCAGTCTGTGAAGCAACTCCCCCTCCTCCTCCAGCCTGGCAAGCTGGGCCAAGAGTTCAGCTCCGGGTAGTACAGCCCCAGCACTTCTCATTAAGGCACACAGAAAATGTCACAGCTGGCCCCATGTTCATTCCCTTGTATGTGTCTTCATCAATTTCCAGGCCCCTGGAAGCAATTCCCAGAATCCACTTCTTTTCAGCTAAGTTCCCTAGAGGGGAGGGGGAGCTTCTTAAGCCCATTCACACCCAGCAGGTGTTGGTGAGGGATCTGATCCAAGGCAGAGGGGGTGGGAACTAATATTTTCAGACCATCTCTCATGGACCAGGCTCTTTTATCCATGTCTTTCAAATCTTAACATGAGCATCGCTTTTCTGGGGGCGCTTTCCCTGATTGTCCCACCCCCAGCCAAGACTCAGTGAAGTCCTGTCTCGTAGCAAGCTGTATTTCTTCTTGCAATACTTACATGTGCAAGCATATGTTTAATGCCTTCCTTCCCTTGTAAGCTTCATGGGGTGGTGGGGGTGGGGCACAATCAAGTCCATTTCATTCTCCAGTGTCTCTTTAGTGCCTGGCACCTACTCTGTGCCCAGGCACTAAAGAAACACTGGAGAATGAACTACACAGTGCCTGACACGGAGTAGGTGCTTAATAGATAATGAATGAATGAATGAATGAATGCATCAACCTCATTGCAATGCTGTGCAGTAAATAGTATTATTTTCTGGATTTTGCAGAGAAAGTAACTGTGACTCCAAAGGTGAAATGTCTTATCCCAGGTGACACAGCCAGTAAGTGGTTCAGGTAAGATCAAACCTAGTTTTTTACCAGGACTTACTGCACTTGATTTATACTATGATTGAGCTGGAAACAAAACAATTTTTCAAAATAAAGAAGCTGAAAGTGTTTGCCCACAATTCTCTCTCCACCCCCAACCCAGCATGATTTGTACTGAGCAAGAGGATTCTAAGGGCTTTGTGTAGCCCACGCAAGGCAGAGGAAAGGGTACAGGGGCTGCCCTTGTCCCCCAGCTGCCAGAGACTGGATCCTCACATGGAGCCCCGCCCGGTTTGTCCCCACCAGGGCAGGACTTGGATAAAAAGTCTCAGGAGAACAAAGACCACATTTTCCCCTGTGAAGCAGAGAGGCCACTGCCGGGGAAACAATGGCCTTGCTGCGGATCAAAGGAGCTGGGCCTGTGCTGGGGACAAAAGCTGAGTCCCTGCTTGATAAGACTGACAACCGGCTCTTCCCCTCCTTTTAGAAAAGTCTCCAGAGAGTCCACCCCACCTTCCCAGCCTCACCTCCCAACTCTTCTCCCCTCCCCTCCCCCACACAGCAGAGCTCCAGGAATGCAGGCTAATTGCTCTTCCCCCAGCGAGCCTCGTTCTTTAACATGCTAGGCCTTTGCTTAAGTGTTTCATCTGCCTACCATGAATTTTCCCTCCTTCCCCCTTAAGTGTACACTTACTCAGACTTCAATATTTTGCTCAAAAATTGCCTCCCCTCTGCCCTCCCTGATCCTTTGACACCTACATGGATTGCATGCAGCTGTGCATTTGCTCAGACCCCAGCTCCTGCCTGGAGTTAGAGCACTGAATTATTACTACCACCTCCAATGCCAGCCTCTCCCTTCAGGTCGTGACCACATGGAGGCCAAGATAATTCTTAACAATGTTGTAAATGCATTGCCAGACACAAGAGAAGACTGATGGGCAAAAAAAAAGTATGTTAATGAATGTTGTAGAGTGAGCTCTCCTAAGCCCTGGAAATTCACTTGGGTGACATGTCTTCTGGATGAATCAAAACCTCCCTATCTCCTTACTTTAATTGTTTCAGTTAATATTTTTTAAGTGCCTACTATTTTGAGGACACTGCTAGGTGCTTAGAATGGAATGATGAGCCAAAACAACAATCCTGCCCTCATGGAGTTACAGTCTAGTGGTTCGGGTCAGGTAGACAGACATTAATCAGCTGCATAATTTTAAAACTATAAGGACTGTGAAAGGAAAGCACAGGACAGGGCAATACAAGAGGAGATTAATTTATGCACCAATATTTGTTGAGAGTTCACCATGTACTAGGCTGAGTTTGAGGCTCTGGCAGAGATGCATCCTTTCTGGAGCTAACCTATCCTATAACAGGGGAAACTGGTCCAGGCTGGGAAGGCTTTCCAGAGGAAGTGATTGCTGAGCCTGATTTAAGGGATGAGTCACCATTAAGGAGGCAAGGGCAGAGGGTGGGAACAATGAACGTTATTTTATGATTGGTAGTGAGATGGGGTTGCCTACAGGAAAATAGAGTACTTCACTAAAATGCCCACAGAGAACTTGACAGCAGAAGTTGGCAGAACAATCCAAAATGTGTGAAGGTCAGATTCAAAGGCCCAGAGAGACTCTGTGATTTGCCCAAGGTCACCCCCATGCCTCTGGTAGATGGAGAGAAACAGAGTCCTAGCTCCAAATCGCTGCCTCACAATGCCTTGCAACTCTTAGATTATTTGGGAAGACGCTCTCTAACCTGAAAAGAGCCCCCCGGGATTAAAGGGCAAAGTATCCCCAGGAAATGCCCTTCTAGAAGAAAGACCAGGTTCAACCTGGAATTTCCTATAAAGAGAATGCTACTTTACCATAGTAGAAATAAGAAGCAATGCCTTCTGATGTTGTGTTCGTTCAATAACTATTTACAGTTTGCAATGCACTTTCACATAAATGGTCCCATTTCTTCTCAGAGTAACGGTCAAGCCCCAGGCTTTGGGGTCAATGAGACCGAGTTCTAATCAAAGCCTTCCTATTAACTGTGACTTTGGGCAAGTTATTTCACCACGCTGTGCCTGAGTTTCTTCATTTGGGACCAGTGGTCTTTCTAGCAAGGCTATGGCTAAAATGGTGCATTAGTTTGCTAGGGCTCCATAGCAAAGTATCACAGACCTGGGTGGCTTAAACAACAAAAACTTATTATCTCACAGTTCTCCAGGCTAGATGTTTGAGATCAAGGTGTTGGCACTGTTGGCTTCTTCTGAGCCTTCTCTCCTTGGCTCATAGATGGTTATCTTCTCCTGGTGACCTACATGGTCCTACCTCTGTGTCCTAATCTCCTCTTCTTATGAGGGCACCAGTAGTATTGGATTAGGGCCCACTCGAATGACCTCATTTTAAATACCTTTTTAAAGACTCTTTCTCCAAATATAGCCACATTCTAGGGTACTAGGAGTTAGGGCTTCAACATATTTATTTGTGGGGGAACATAATGCAGCCCATAACAGATGGAATCAGGTTTCTACATTTCTGCACAGTGCCTGGTGCACAGCAGATACTGGGTAGGTGATAGGTGGCATTGACATTGGCATTTCTGGGAGGGACTGTGGAACAGATGACTGCTGGTTCTCCCTCTTGTGCTCTAAAGGACAACCGGGGCCAGGCACGCTTGGTTCTAATCCTGTCTCACTGCCTGGATGACCTTGGAAAGATCTTGGTGCCTTCTGTTTAGTAACAACAAAGGAGATGCACCCCATACTATCTGTGCTCCTTCCCTTCTCACGTAGTTCCATTGTAAGGCCCCAAAGCTTGCCACTCTAAGAGCAGAACAGGAAGGAGGCAAAGGTCCTGCCATTTTCAGTACCATTTACTCACAGAAGGTGCAGCTTGCTGCTGCTGTTTCTGTACATGTGAGTGGAAGCAACTTCAGAAAACATTCTCTTACCTTGCCTTTCCCCGACTGCCTTTCCCAGAAGGTAGGAGACAGCAGTTTTCCCAGAGGCAATCAGTTAAAATATTTTTGGATACAGAACACATAACTTAGGGAGAAATCCTGATAAGTCCCATTGTCCCCGGATTACCCACTGGCATCTTAGGCCAGATTCATTCATCTGGCAGCCTGCCCTGCCCTGGCATGCCCGGGACAGCTGATGCTCCAGGAGCAGGTGAACATGGCCAGAATATCACCTTGGAGGTAATTTTCTCCTTGTGCTCCTTATTCACTGAGATGTTAAAAGAGGTTGTTGGTGTTGTGGGTTTTTTTTTTAAAGACTATATCAGCACATCCTATTTGTAGCATGAACCCAGGCAGTTCCTAAAGACTGGCTTTAGTCTATTGTGTTTGCTTCCTCTTTGAACCCAGTCAAATCAAGATAGTGAAGCCAAAAGAGATGAGTGAGCAGAGGAGAGACGCTGAAATGGCACTTTGACACTGCAAAAAAACAAATGAGTTTTGAAAAGGCACTAATTGATCTTTAGGCCAGTGAGGCCTTATTTGGGGGGTGTTCTTTGTGCTCCACTCTGAGCCTCATATTTTGCATTGATTTTCAAAAGGACTCATGCTCATTGCAGAAAACTTGGAAAATAGAAAAATGCAAAGAAGCATAATATATATATACATATGTACACATGCACACACATACAACCCATAAGTCTGTTGTCTTAAGATAATTATTAAGATAATTGCTGTTAATGTTGGGATATGTTTTACTCTAGTCTCACTTCTTGTGAAGTTGAGATCATACTAGAGATAAAGTTTTATATCTCTGTTATTTTAATTTTCATTCTATCAAAGGCATTTCTTTTCAAGAAAAACTTTAATGTCTGTATAATATTCCAGTACATTGATGTACTGCTGTGACCTAACCATTCTCTTGTCGTGGATATTTACGTTGGTTCTGTTTCTCTTTTAAGGGATAGTTTCCTCTGATTTGTTGGGCTTTTATAAACAATGCTACCTGGACATCTATCTATTTTTATCTACCTTTTTCTAAGAAAATATCACATCATTAATTTCATATGCTGCATTCTTTTTTTTTTTTTTTTTTGGAGACAGAGTCTCACTCTGTCCCCAGGCTGGAGTGCAATGACGCGATCTCAGCTCACTGCAACCTCCACCTCCTGGGTTCAAGTGATTCTCCTGCCGCAGCCTCCTAAGTAGCTGGGATTACAGATGCCCACCACCATGCGGGGCTAATTTTTTGTATTTTTAATAGAGACGGGGTTTCACCATGTTGGCTAGGCTGGTCTCAAACTCCTGACCTCAAGTGATCCACCCGCCTCGGCCTACCGAAGTGCTGGGATTACAGGCGTGAGCCACCGTGCCCAGCCATGCTGCATTCTTAAAACAACCGTGAGAATTAGGTAGTATTTGCATGTAATGAATTAGGCTCACAGAAGCCACGTGATGAAAGAGAGCTATTAAACTCCAAACTGCTGGGCACGGTGGCTCACGCCTGTAATCCCAGCACTTTGGGAGGCCAAGGTGGGCGGATCACGAGGTCAGAAGTTCAAGACCAGCCTGACCAACATGGCGAAACCCCGTCTCTACTAAAAATGCAAAAATTAGCTGGGCATGGAGGCGCGTGCCTGTAATCCTAGCTACTCGGGAGGCTGGGGCAGGAGAATCGCTTTAACCCGTAGGCAGAGGTTGCAGTAAGCCGACATAGCGCCACTGCACTCCAGCCTGGGTGACAGGGCAAGACTCCGTCTCAAAAATAAAAAAAAATAAAAAAAATAAAAACTCCAAACTGAAAAAGAGCCCGCTTTATTAGACCTCAAGCCCCATGCTCTTTCTACCGCTTTATGCTTCGCGTTAAAAGGTGAACAGTGGGAACATGAACCGTCCGACAGTTGATCCCATTATGAAGAGATGGAGGGACTGGAAATTCTGCACCTGGAGGAGAAAAGACTTGGAAGGCAAAGATGTCTTCTGGCATCAGCCAGGTGGACACACTGGTGAAAAAGCAAGCAGGCTTGTCCTGCGCTTTTAGAGGGCAGAACTATGACATCAATACGGCAATTAGAGTTGATTTCCATTCACCATAAGAAGGAAGTGTGAGGCTATGGATAAATACAGGAAGTTTGTCATATAACAGACTTGAATGTGAACCCCTGCTCCATTCCTTCCTGATTGGGTGATGTTGGGCAAGTCACTTGAGCTCTATAAGACTCATTTTATTTAAATTTAGACCATGTGAAGTTAATCAGAGGATTCGAAGCAATATGATTGAGTATATGGGTTGGTATCTATTAGGAGTTCAAAAAATGGTTACCATTACTTTTAACACTAAATTATGGCTGTCCAACCCTGGAATGGGCTACATTGAATATTCAAGTAGATGGGATACCCATCTGTCCAATATGTGGTGGAGGCAGACAGAAGTTGAACCAAGTGATCTCTAAGTCACATGATAGGAAAAAACTGAGACAGAGTTAGGCATCCTGAGCAAAAGACCTTATTCTATTACTTAGTAGCTGAGGCATAAGGACAAACAACTTACTCTTTCCAGGCCTTAGTGCCTAGTTCATAAAGTGGGGATAATAACAATGCACTCCTTATGGGGCTATTAGAAGGGAGAAAAGAGATTGTGGATATGTAAGCTCTCAATATAGCTGCAAAACTTTCTAACAATATCCATTAACTTTATGATTGTTCTAAATCAATAATGTGATTGCTCTCCTGGGGATGCACATAGAAAATAAATTGTGCTTCTGATAAAACTGCTGCCATCCAGCCTCCAGGGCCCTTCACAGCAGTCACTGTATGGTACAGTGTTGTTTAAAGAGCGAGCTGGCTAAGATGGCCAGTGCATGCCTGGAGTTTGGAGGGGCTTAGGATGCTGCCTGTGGAACTGTCTTTCATCTCCCAGGAATGTCTGCAGTATTTACAGAGCAGACAGGGCCTTATCTCCACTACTGGGTCAGGGACTGTGAAGACCCTTCCCCAGCCCCCTCATCTCTGGTGGAGGGCATGCACAGGTTTCGGACAGCTGACCCTCTGGGCTGGAATGCTGTGAGCTCAGCCTGACACATCTTCCATCAATTTCCTTGGGAAAGAAAGATCCCAGAGAGGCAGGCTGCACCCATCCATCTGATCTCAGCCATCCTCATGTCTTCAGGGTTTTATATCTTTATTGAGCATAACAAGTAACTGGTGCACTTCACTCAAATGCCCATTACATGAGGCCAGACATTCCTGATCCTCACTGCATAGGTTTCTATCCATCATTAAAGAATGGACAGGAATTGCATTCAGAGGAAGTGGTGGCTTATAGCAGCTTCACCCCATAAATTCTGATTAGGTGCTTTCTTAGCCAACATGACCTCTCTCCCATTGAAGACTTGAGATTGTCTTCTTTAAAGCAGAATCAGACCACTGAAAACCCCGAAGCCAGATAAGCCTGATCATAAATACCAGTTCTCACATTTATTATGTAACATCAAGCTGTTATGTGAATTAAATGAGATAGTGTACATTAGGGTCTTAGCCCACTGCCCAAGACATAGTGAACCCTCTATTAAAGTTATCTGGTACTTAGCTGTTGTGCTGGCTGCATGATTTTAGGCAAGTCAGTTCGCTTTACTGAGCCTCGGTTTCCTCATCTGGAAAAGGGGAGCATCTATAAAAGGTGGCTGAGAAGGAAGCAAGAGGTTTCAAACTCAGAGCAGGCTGGGCTCATTTTCTACTTCTTTCAGTTGGTAAACTATGTTTCCTTGGCACACTGTTTATTGGTTTAATGTCTCAGAACTTTGAGTTCCTTATTTGTAAAATATAGATAATAATGCCCATTTTTCAGGGTTGCTGTGAAAACTACAGACCATGTCTGGAAAGGATATTGCATGAAAAACAACTATGACATGATTTCTAATAGGTGACTGGCAGAGTGATTACCGCCTTAATTTTGAGTGACAGCAATTTAAATCTGGTGTCTGAAGCCACTGCCTCCTTCAAAGGGTAAAACAAGATGGTCACCAGCCAACCCAGCAGCAACAGGCACTGAAGTAGACACTGAGGATGCAGGCGATGAGCCGTGTCCATGAAATCAGAACCAGGCTCAAATGACCCAGGCAGCCACTAAGTGCTTCTGTTGGGGAGTTGAACACTCTCCCATCTGTCCCTCCCAGCTGCTTCCTGCCCTGCTTTAGGAGTTGAGGGTTCCCGTAGGACTGAATTCATGAGATAGTCAAAATCAAATGGCCTCTTGGCCTCTAGCTTTCATCTCCTCCTCAACCCCCACATCCACCTGGTCGTTCATGACCTAAAAGCAGCTATGTCATATGACACCTTGCTCAAAGAGCAGAGTGGATCCCTAATATCTCCTAAATAAAAGTTCAGACTTAAAGCATAAAGTTAAGGTTTTCTGGAACGTTCCACAGCTTATCCTGATGAGAGCTCAGGACATCGTAGAGTCAGAGGGTTCTGGACTAGGAGACCAACACATCTAGCTCAAGCCTGGCCCATGCCACATAGTGTCTAATTTGTGTGGAGCAAATTTCTTGTGGGAAACGAGTTAATATTCTTCAGGCACTATAAGATAAGACACAGAGTTAGGCACTTCTTCATGTTTTTTCAATTAATTCTCACAATAACCCCTCTGAGGGAAAGAGTCTTATTGTCCCTGTTTTGCAGGTGTGGGGACAGAGCTGAAGACCAAGCAACACAGGTAGCACCTCTGAGGTTGGTGGGGACCCCAAGACCACCTACCCACAGGAAGTAGGACTCCCTCCTAACCATGTGAGGTACAAAGCTTTTGCCAACATCAGCTTGGCTTAAGTATCGGCACTCTTTCTGGCTTCATTCTCCTTTCTTCTATATCTACAGCTAAGCTATAAAGACCAGCATGGCGCCTGGGATTACTATGGATTCAAAAAACTTTGCAAAAATATTTTGGAGGCTGGACTCATCACCAGGTACCCATCATAAGGTAAAGAACAGGCAACCTCTACAAAGCCTCAACTAGAGCAGGTCTCGCCATTATACATAAGTTCCATTGCATTTACCTTAGAGCACTCATAATTATACCTATTGGGAAGATGAAGCCCGTAGAATTCATGAGGGTAAGAATAATGCCTGATTTGCTCACCACTGCATCCTCAGTGTACTTGATTTATACTTATTGAATAAATAGAAGAATTAATAGGACTGTTTTACCTGGAAGATATGTGTACAGTATAAATTGCAACAGGAAGGAGCATTTGAAAGAAGTCAGGTAGGTACACATTGGGGAAACTCAGACCCCGCTGGCCAGGATTTGTGAAGTCCATACAGCGATAAGGAGACTAAGGTAAGGTTAGTTACAGGCTCCCACGAGAGCAAAGCTCCACCTGAGTTCCACCTCCACCTCTGCCCCAACTCACATTGCATAACCTTGGGAGGTGCCATCACCTTCCTGGCTCATGTCTTCCTCACCTGAGATGTGCAGAGCTTGGATCAGGCTCACAACTTGCTTCCAGATCTGATATTTACATTTCCCTATTGGCTAATACCTCTTGGCTAATACCTCTTCCTCCAACTTTTAAGGACATTTTGAAATAGTTGAAACTGTTCTAAATATTAGAATATTGAAGACAGCTACTGAGGGTATAACACATATTGACCAACCTCTACCTCAGAATGATCCAAAGACTAAGGTAATTCAAAGGGGAAGAGAAGTCCCAGATATTAGAGTTAGGTGGCTTAAATGCCATCAGAGGGACTTCCAAGTGCCCTCTTGTGAGTGCATGCGTGAACTCTCTCCCTTTCTCTCTCAGTCACACACACACACACACACACGCGCACACACACACACACACGCTAATCTTGCTACACTCATCTGAACCAAAAAAAGAAAACAAACAAACAGACCTAGACAGTGAGTTGCGAGAGGGATTTGCAATTTACTATTCTATCTATTCCCTTCTTTTCAGGTCTTTATTCATTCAAAGCCTTGATCAACTGAGCACTAAGCATCACCTCATCAAAATCACCTGGAGTGCAGTTGGAGGCTGCAGTGAGCTATGACTACACTACTGTGCTTCAGCCTGGGTGATAGAGCGAGACCCTGTCTCAAAAAAAAAAAAAAAATCACCTGGAGGAGTAATAACAAGTTTGTTAAAATGCAGATTTTAGGCTCCCCCAAAGATCTTCTAAATCAGATTTTTTACCCATACCTCACTACCCCCACTTCTTTTTTTTTTTTTTTTTTTTTTTTTTTTTTTTGAGACAGAGTCTCACTCTTGTTACCCAAGCTGGAGTGCAGTGGCGCAATCTCTGCTCACTGCCACCTCCGCCTCCCAGGTTCAAGCAGTTCTCCTGCCTCAGCCTCCTGAGTGGCTGGGATTACAGGCACCTGCCACCACGCCTGGCTAATTTTTGTATTTTTAGTAGAGACAGGGTTTTGCCATGTTGGCCAGGCTTGTCTCAAACTCCTGACCTCAGGTGATCCACCTGCCTCGGCCTCCCAAAGTGCTGGGATTACAGGCGTGAGCCACCACACCCGGCCTCAGCCCCCATTTCTTAAGCCTACTAAAGTTTTAGATTATGTAAAATGCTTAGCACAGTTAAGAGACTGTTCACATATGCCAGGCACCTTATCTAGTAGCTGGAAGCATACGAAATTGCCAATTGCCAATAGTCTATCATTTTTGACCTTTAAAAATGGCAATTTCATATGGCTCAACCGAATGCATTGGCTAGATCTCATCCCAACCTTCCAAGCAGACATAGTTATTCCTAGTTTACAGTAAAGACCATGAAACTCCAAGGGGTTAAACATCTTGCTGAAGGGCACAGCTCTAATGAAAGGCACAGGTGGGATTCCAGTGCAAGTCTCTTCTGCCTGCAGCCTTGGTTCCTCCTTCTGTTCTCCAGCAATCCACCACTGCTCCTCAGGACGACTGCAAACACCAGACGGAAGTGCATCATTTTGGCCACAGTGTCCCAGGTCGAAACACCACCTCTGACTCCAAACAGAGCCATGAGTTTGTCCCTTGAGGCTCGGGCTATGTGCACAAGTTTTCAGAATGCCTTGTTTCTTGTCAAAAACTAAACTGATGTTTTTCCTGGCATGGCTTTTGGAAGGGAGCATGATTGCTGATTAAATATGAAGTGGTTTGAAACCTAAGTGTCTCTCTGAATAACGTAATGTTTACTCCCCACAAGGAAGGCATGCCAAGGGGCTGTCTCATAGGGGTTATTTATGTGTCCAAGTCTCCAACAACCCCTCTGGAAACTGTTGCAGTGATCCTTTTGGGTTTGACACCCCCTGAGGGATCTGTGTCCTGAAGTGGCCTGAGGGCTGGAAGGGAGTGTTCTGTCCCCAGCACCACCAGCTCTGCTGATGAGCCCTGAGCTGGGTACACTGTACCTGCCCAGAGAGGCTAGAGACTTGCAGACACATTTCCCTGTTCCCTTACTCAGAGTAGGGAACCCTAGCCTGTGAGGCTGCAGAAGGAATCCCGGAGGATAGTGGAAGGAAGGAGAGCAGCGTTGTCTAGGAGGGCTCTTATGTCATCTCTGATTCCTCAAAGACCCTCAACGTGGTTGTTCTTGTTGCCATTTCACAAATGAGAAAACCAAGACCCATAAAAGTTAATTCTTTTCTCAAGTTCACACAGGATTTGAACCCAGGCCAGTCTGATTCCAAAGCCCCTCTTTATTTCAGGAAGGAAGGAGAGGCAGGAGGAAAGGGGAACTTATTTTATGCCAAGTATATGCTAGGGGCTTCTCTTTCCATTATCTTTTCTATGCTTTCTGCTACTCCTGGGAGGAAGGTATCATTACGCTTATTTCACAGGTAAGAAAACTGAGGTCCAGGGTATTGGAGTTTTTGCCCAGGATCACTCAGGTAATAAATAGCAAAACCAGGCTATAGCCCAGGCTGGTTTACATTTCCTACTCCTTCACGCTGACTCTTTAGTGATGAGTCCCACAGTCTGGGTCTCTTCCCAACCATGACACTTGACCTCAGTTTCCCATTCTGTATCATGAAAAGGACGTAAGCATCTCCCAGGTTTATAAACCTGATATAGCATAGGCCCATTAGTACAGTCTCCCCATGTTGGAGAGACAACATGGCTCCTAACTGAATTATAAAATAGTGTTCAAGTTGCTGGCCCTTGAATTGTCTTTCAGAGAAAACATATCTCAGAAGATATAAAAAGAATTAGCCTCATTCCCCAAGGAAAGATTGAGAGAGGGACTGGCAAGAAGCTTCCAGAATTCCTTGGAAAGTCCCTGAAATAGCTCATATGGCCACCTCTCTCAAGCAGAGCAGGATAAGTGTGGCAATTTGGGGCTGTCCTGAAGTGATTCTCGGCTTGCTTAGAAGCTGAGCAATATTTTCTACCCACCTGCCTGTAGCAAGCCTACTCCCAGGTCATCACCCCCAATTTCGTCATCCTTTTCCATGCTCCCATATCAGCAAGAGTTGGGGCTTCATGAACCCCTTGAAAACATTCAGCTCTGGGGCCATGAGTCATAGTAGAGGCTACACTAGACTAACCCCCAGAAAGAAAAGGACTAATAAAATGAAACTCCCAAAAAGAAAGGACAGTCACTAATTGGTCATCGTCCTCGTATATGCCAGGTGCATATTCAATAATCAAAATAACCCATAGTGCAGTACTTTCTTTTACAAAATAAGAAAAAATAACAATGAAAAGGATAATAAAGGCAATAAGAATAGTGATAACAGTAACCAACATTTGCGGAGCTCTTTCTTTGTGCCAGTGTGCCAGTCTTTTTGCATGCATTAGGCTGATCCTTAAAATAACCAGATAAAATATTTACTATTACTGTGCCCATTTCACCAATAACACTCTTGAAGCTCGGAGAGGTTGAGTAACTTATATCACACAGCAGGTAGCTGGCAGATTGAGAATATGAACCTAGGTCCGTTTGATCTGAAAACTTTGGCTCCTCGTCATTAAACCATGAGGCCTCCTGGAGAAACTGGATTCACAAGTATTACCTTCATTGAAGCATTTATCCTCTCTGAACCTCAGTTTCCTTATCTGTAAAATGGAGTTGTGTGGGGAACAAGGAAGATGCTAGATCCAGTCATGTATTTGGTCCGTCATTCCACAACCACTGGGACTCCTTTGGGTTATCAGGCACAGAGCTGAGTTCTGGGGTTCAGGGGTTAAATGAGAATCTCCACTGACAAGTACAACAGGCACAGATGTGACTGATCAGAGTGTAGCATGCCGAGTGCCATCAGAGCATGCGTGCACTCCCGGAAGCACCAAATAAATGTTCTTAGTTATGACAGACCTTAAATAAATTATTATTATTATCATTGCTATTCATTGAAACATTAAAGGCATATTCCCTTCTGAGTCTCACTTCCTGGGGTTCTCCCACTAGCTCCCGCTAGTTTCCCAGATGGACGCCTGGGTCAACTTGCGACACATTGGACTTTTGTTTTTAACCCTCCAGGACCTTACGGCCCGGAAAATCCCAAAGGTGACTCAGAGACTTTCAGGGAAAGTGATCAAAGCTGAGGCCCCTAAGGGCACTGGATTCTATACTCTGCAGCTTCCCCTATCCCAGAGCAGGAGAACGGGCTGGAGCTGAATCCCACCAGCCTCCTCATACCCTGGGGCAGCTGAAGGAGAGGCTGCCCAACCCTCAGGAGAGGGCAGCCAGCTAGGGGGTCTCACTTCCCAGGTTCCATATGTCCCTCAGCTCTGTGTTAATTGTGGGTCTCTGGGCAAGTCCCTCCAAGTTTTAGGGTCCCCGTCTGAAAAGTGGGAATAGAATTTCTGCCTTCTGTTATATATGGCTGCTATAAAAACTAAATGAGAAAGAGTATTGTGCTATGATATACCTATTAGACATAATTCATTCATTCTCTATTCATCGAACACACACTTTGTGTCACAAACTGACTACATACCTAACATTTTCCATGTAGTAATCCCATATGTAAAACTAAGTATTTTATGTATATGAGCTAATTTAATCCTCACAATACTATAGGTAGATATTATCTGTATCCCCATTTTACAGATGAGGTAACCGTTCATATAGAGGCTAAGGACCTTGCTTAGGGCTACACAAACACAGCTGATGAGTGACAAAGCAGGTAGCCTCGCTCTGGAGTCTGTGCTCTTCACCTCTCCCTTCTCTGAGGGTGAGACATGGTGCCTGTCCTGCCCACAGGGGGTTACAGTCTGGTAGGAAAGACAGAGTAAGCAGACAATCATAGTATATACGGTGCATGTTGCGATGGGGAGTGCAGGGGATCAGAGCCAGAGAAGGGGCTCACACCCAGCCCAGGGGGATTAAGGAAGACTTCTTGGAGGAAGTCAATACAGAGAAATGAAGTCATCCTGGGCAAAGCACTAGTTGCGGGAGAGCTCTGGGCTGAGAAAGAGGCTGTTGCCTTTGAATAGTGGAGAGAAGTTGGAACACTGGGTTCAAGGGCAAAGATAGGCCGGGGCAGATCCTGTGGGACCTTGTAAGCTGTTGTCAGTCAGGGACCCAGCAGCAAAGAGATGGCATGCTCACCTGAGTGGTTTAAGAAAAGTTTAGCAAAGGAACTTTGCACAAACTGTGGGCAGGGAAGATGAGAAGTAATAATGGATGCTGCACTACTCCTGGGCTAGTAGCCATTACCACCCTGAAGCCTGGAGGGGCAAGAGGAGGAAGCAGCATAGGGAACACTATGGCAGGAGCTGTGGCCTCCAGGTAGAGGGAAGACCAGATAAGAGGGAGGCGAAAGGTAAACACTGACTGCTCTCCTCCTGCCCTCCCGTCTCTTGCTGGGCTTCACTGGCTGAATCCAACTGAAAATGTAAATGTGTGTGGGTCCAGGAATGCACTCCACACAGGTCAGAGTCTTGGGGCACACAGCAGGGTGGGGAAGGGAGGACAATGGACCTCTGCCAACAGTCAGAAGATACTCTTACTCAGAGGCTTATTTTTTATCCCAAGGACAGGGGGAGCCATCATAGTGATGCTATCAAATCTCTACTGTTTTTTTTTTCTTTTTTTTCTTTTTTTGAAACAGAGTCTTGCTCTGTTGTCCAGGCTGGAGTGCAGTAGCACAATGGGCTCACTGCAACTTCTGCCTCCCGGGTTCAAGCAATTCTCCTGCCTCAGCCTCCCAAGTAGCTGGGACTACAGGCACATGCCACTACGCCCAGCAAATTTTTGTATTTTTAGTAGAGACAGGGTTTTGCCATGTTGGACAGGCTGGTCTTGAACTCCTGGCCTCAAGTGATCTGCCTGCCTCGGCCTCCCAAAATGCTGGGATTATAGTCATGAGCCACTGTGCCTGGCCTCCATTTTAGAAGGATAACTCTGATCACAGCAAGAGTGAAGGCAGGGACCAGGGAAGAGGCTGGTACAGGTGTCCACGTGGAAGGGGTGTGGGCCTGAGCCCTGGCAGGGAAATTTAAGCTAAAGATACTTGGACATGTCATTGGATAAGGCCTTACCAAACCTCAAGAAACTGCAAACCATCCCTCTTTCTCCTTCCCCACTGACACTGTAACACACCCTTATATACACACACACACACACACACACACACACACATATTACCACCACCACCACCAACCACCCCCCGCTCTTTGGCCTGCCCTGGTGCTGTCACAGGCCATAGCCTCCTGTCTTCTGATTCTGATTCCACTCACACTTCAGCATCCTCATCGTAGCCAACACTGTGCCATTATTCCATTCACACTATCTGCAGATCACAGATCTGGATACTATGTTCTCATCTGACAAATGAGTGACAAGAAGGACAGAAAAATCCACAGACTCATCCAAGGCTCCCACAAAAAGTGAGTGTAACATAGCCAGGATGTGAACCCATGTCTCACCCAAAGCACACCATACTCCGACTGTATGCAGAGGAAACCACCTCCGCTGCCCCTCCTTTCTTTTACTTTTCCCTCTTCCCTGCCATGAGACAGTGTGTCTTAGACTTTGACCCCACAGAGTTTTCCTTAGCAAGACGCCTCCTCCCTGTACAGTCCTCAATGGACAGAGTTGGTTGGGTACAGTCCTCTTCCCCCTGCCATAGAAAGCCTGGTGCATGGCTGAAGCCTCGCAGGCTGGCCATCCCCACAGCAGAAGCGCTGCTCCTCCCATCCTCCTGCACAGAGGGCATTGCCTGCTCTGGAATGGGTGAGCCTTCATAATGTGTTATGGCAATTTAGTCACATAATGGCTTGTACTTGGAGAGCATTTACTTTATGCCAGGCATTATTTTAAGTGCTTTACATTTAATTGTTACAAAACCACATGTGGTGAGTCTATTCCCATTCTACAGATGAGAAAACTGAAGTGCAGAGAGTTAAAATAAATCACCCAAGGACACAAAGACAGTGAGTAGCAGGGCTGGATCAGAATTCAGGCAGGGTGGCTCCAGCATCTGTTGGCTTAACCTCCTCATATGCTTTTTGTCTGAACTGGAAAGCCCCAAAGCACATTCAATACTACCCCTCATTTTGAAAACAAAGAAAATGAGGCCCAGGGAGAAGAAGTGAGTGACTTGCCCGGGTCAGTGACAGAGCCTGGAATACAGCCCCTGACTCCCAGGCCAGTGCTCATCTCATCTCCTGACACTGCACTTCCCCAGGACTCTCTCCCCAAACTCTGCATGTCCTTGGCTGCAAACAGGCTGAGTTTCTCACTAACAGCTCAATTATACTGGAGTGAGCACTCCCCTCCAGGAAGCCAGTTTACGGGACATTAAAATCTCTTACTAATGACCTATATTCCTCACATCCAAACTGGAGCTTGGCCATGTACTCCAAGCAACTCCTTGCAGGAGTCACAAAGCTTTTGACTGGGGAATAACCAAAGCCAAATATTTCCAGAGGCAGGAAACCCCCTAGGGTCCCATTCCTCAGCTCCTCCTCAGCCCACAAGGAGGTTGTTCTAATGTCAATGGAAGATACTTTCTTTTTTCTCTGAAACCTTCAGAGATGATAACCTGGTGAGCCTGGGGCCACTATCACCTCCTCATCACCCCCACCCCATATTTATTCTACAGATGAAAAACTTCAGGATGGGAAATGTCTCTATTCAAACCCCTTGTTGAACCAATGGGGAAACTGAGGCCAGCAAGAAGACTGGGCCATGCTCCAAGGCACACAGTAGGGCCAGCAATGGCCAGAGGCAGGGCTGGAACCCAGATCTGTCCACTCTGAATTCTAATTCTTTCTACCACCCCTCACAGGGTCCTCCCAGCACCTTGTTTGTCTAGAGTACATAGTTCTTTTAAAAGTGGTTTGTATAATTCTTAAAATCCTGAAGAGTTGTAAACAGCCTTTGTAGAAATACAGAAAAACAGTTCGGGGAATAATTTGTCTCTTTCTTCCCCTGCTTAATTTTTTGATCTCAGGATGACAAGGCCAGTGACCAATCTGTCCTCTTCCTTTCCCCCTGGGGGCTCGAAGGAGGTAAATCTAGGGCATATCAGTGAGTTCGGTGAACTGATGTTTGTGAAGTGCTTCAGCTGACACAGTGTTTTCATGTGACATTTTCAACAGCCCTGTGAGGTAAACACATGCCTATTGCAAGGGAGGCCATGTGGCCTGCCGCGTGGCCACTAGACATTGGAGTGAGGTCAACCTGGGGCTGGATCCCAGCCTCAACACACACATGTGAGCTCAAAGTTACTTATCTTCTCTACTTTCCTCATTTATAAAATGGGCATTATACACACCTTGCAGAGACATTAGGCAGATTGAATAAGGTGAGGCATCCGGGACTTTACAGCACTCAGTAAATGTTAGCAGACATTATCTCTGTACTGTCCTCTACCAGGGAGTGCATTACAAAAAAAAGTAGTTAACTCCCGGGGTTTGTTATTCCAATACAGGCAGAAAGTATAAATTAGCATCAGAAAGGCTTTGATAGACTCCAGATGACAAAGCCATAGTGGGAGCTAGTATGCTCAGGACTGGCTCGGTACTCTGGTTAATCTAATCAGAGTGAAGCCAGGTCGTGTGTGGGAGCTAAAGGGAAGATGCAGTATTTTTTTCCTCTAGATATAAACCTGGGGAATGCAGGCCTGGAGCTGCTGGCCCATCCTGGTGCTATGTGGAAACTGAGACTGAAGCCAACATGGAAGAAAGGAGTCCTGAGAGAGGAAGAGAGATCATGTGAGACCCCTCCAGCCAGTCCCAGCCCAGGATCTCGAAACTGTATGAACTGATACATTCTTTTGCAGAGCAGGGGTGTGCGTTATCTATCACTGTTGTCTATCACTTGCTCGTGAAAGAGTTCCACTCGCTTCAAGGGTTGTCGAAAGAGCCAAAGAGATACTAGCCTGCTGGTTGATGAGGGTTGGTGCACAGGACTTTTCAGAAGGGCTGTGGAAATGTTCTATTTCTTCAACTGGATAGTGGGCGTACCAAACTTATTTATTTATTTATTTATTGAGATAGAGTCTTGCTCTGTCGCCCAGGCTGGAGTGCAGTGGCGCCATCTCGGCTCACTGCAAGCTCCGCCTCCCGGGTTCACGCCATTCTCCTGCCTCAGCCCTCCGAGTAGCTGGGACTACAGGCACCCACCACCACGCCAGGATAATGTTTTGTATTTTTAGTAGAGACGGGGTTTCATCGTGTTAGCCAGGATGGTCTTGATCTCCTGACCTCGTGATCCGCCCGCCTCAGCCTCCCAAAGTGCCGGGATTACAGGCGTAAGCCACCGCGCCCGGCCTTAAGGCATACCACATTTCTTATGCTATTCTTCATGCTTTGAATGTATAACATATATATGTGTAATTACATAAATATATAATTCTACCTAAGAAGTATAGCTTGGAACAACTTTTCTAGAGACAATTTGGCAATACCTATCCATTTAAAATGCACAAATCTTTTAGCCTTAAAATTCCTCTTCTTATCCTAAGAGAATATTAAATTGTGCACAAAGATTTCTATACCACAGTGTTTATAATTTCTAAAGAAATTTTGAGTTTTGTCAATAAAGAATTGAGTAAATTTTGATAAATCCTTGCAATGGACTATTATGAATATTATGTTATTAAAAAGAATATGGTAGATTTTTTATGCATTGACAGTGGAAAATATCTATAATACAAATTTAATTTAAGAGGGCAGGAGGACTGTGTATCATTTAGAGATTGTATCCAAGTACCAAGTACAAGTCATAGAAGACCTGACCGCAGTGACATAAAATCACAGAGGATTATTCTCCAGTGATAAGGAAGGCCTGAGGAAGGTCAATCAGGTCTGGCATGGCTATTCCATTAAGTTATCATGATTCATGTGCCTTTCCCTCGGTGTCCAGTGTGTGGTTGCCTCCTCAGGGTCACTTCATGGCTTAAGATGATTGCTTCAGGCTGGGTGCAGTGGCTCAGTCTATAATCCCAGCATTTTGGGAGGCTGAGGTGGGCAGATCACCTGAGGTCGGGAGTTCGAGACCAGCCTGACCAACATGGAGAAACCCCATCTCTACTAAAAACACAAAATAAGCTGGGTGTGGTGGTGCATGACTGTAATCACAGCTAGTCAGGAGGCTGAGGCAGGAGAATCGCTTGAACCTGGGAGTCGTGGATTGCAGTGAGCCGAGACTGAGCTATTGCACTCCAGCTTGGACAACAAGAGCGAAACTCCATCTCAAGAAAAAAAAAAAAAAAAAAAGTTGATTGCTTCACATCTGTTCTGTAGTCCAGAAGAAAGAGGGCAAAAAAAAGCATAAAAAGACACACCTCTCATCCAAGAAAGCTACTTCTATGGTGCTCCACAACATGTCTTCTGTTCTGTCAACGGCCAGATATTAACCACATGGACACATCTAGCTGAAGGGGAGGCTAGGACATGTTGTCTTTATTTTAGGCGGCAATGTATTCAGCTAAAAGTCAAGACTGCACTAAATGTGTGTGTGTGTGAGTGTGTGTAGAAGGCAATGCAACATATGTGCTTATATGAGTATAGAATAAAATCTAAAAGCATATATGCATAAAAGATGGTTATATCTAGGAAGTCAAATTAGAGGGTATTCTTTCACTTTCTACTTCATAGCACAGTGAGTTCATAAATTATTTTTGGCCGGGCATGGTGGCTTACACCTGTAATCCAAGCACTTTGGGAGGCTGAGGCAGGGGGATCACTTGAGGTGAGGAGTTCGAGACCAGCCTGGCCAATATAGTGAAACCCCATCTCTACGAAAAATACAAAGATTAGCCGAGGGTATGTACACCTGTAATCCCAGCTACTCAGGAGGCTGAGGCAGGGGAATCGCTTGAACCCAGGAGGGAGAGGTTGCAGTAAGCTGAGATTGTGCTATTGCACTGCAGTCTGGACTACAGAGCAAGACTCTGACTAAAAAAAAAAAAAAAAAAAAAAAATTCAACAAAATTTTATTATTCTTAGAACCAGGAAAAAATAAATAAAGCTATCTCAATTTTGAAGAAAAAAAGAGATTATGGTGTTAAAAAAAAAAAAACCCAAAAGTCCTATAATGTAAACCAGAGTGCATTATGTAATTAGCAAGAATATTTTATGCCAGGGTTTGAGTATATAAATACAGAATCATTCAATTATTAAACATTCTTAAAGTCTTCAGAGTGTGGCAGACATTAAATAAGGAAAAGACCAAATGCAAGCAACATGAAAACCTCTTTTCTAATCTAAAGAAATTAGAGACCATTGGCAATACTCTTATCATGATTCACTGAAGACTTTTTTTTATAAACATGTGCTCTCTCCATGAAGATTCATTCAATGACATTAATTGAGTATCCATCTGGGCCACGTAATTTATTAGACCCTTTCTATATTTTCTCATTTAACTCTGGGGAAAAAAACGCTATTGGGTAGATACTATTGCCCCATATTATAGATGAGGAAACCAAGGCTCAGACTGGTGAAATTAGTCACTCAGCCAAGTTCAGCTCGACCCTAGATCTATCTGACTTCAAAGCCCATGGGGGATGCTTTTCAGCTGAATCAGCCCCAACCCCTCCTCTGGAAGCCAAGGCTGATAAATGATAAATAATCCTCACCCGAGTTTCCACGTCTCATACCTTAGGAGCCTCAGAGTCTGAGTCTTTCTAAAATTAGGTCGATCGCTTCCTTCCTTACGTCGAGCCAGTTTTAAATATAGGCTCTCCTATCCATCTTCCTTGCTCTGCTATGTTTCCTCTGCACTCCATGGTCCATCAGATCCCAGTAGTATTTTTCCTATTGCCTTTTAAACTTCCTTTGGGCGTCTGATTTGTTACTCATTTTGGACCCACTATGCTGGGAACTTGTTCATGGTTCTCCGTCCCTGTCAGCTCTGACGCAAGTCAGGAAAAGCCTCCCAGGTATTAGTCATCCCTGCTCTGGGATGTCATGCAGCCCCTAGAAGGTGACCTCTAGCTAATTTCCTGGAGGCAGCAGGTATGATGGAGAGAGGCTGGGCTTTGAACTCAAACAGATTTGGATTTGAATCTTAGCTGTGCCATATTTCTGAGTCTTAGTTTCCTTGTTTCTAAAATGCAGGTGAGAATACATCTTTTCCAGGCCAAACATGAGCATTATTGAGATAATCTAAGTATTTTTATAACCTGGAACCTGAGAATTGTTTAATAACTTTTAATCACTTTTATTATTTAGCTTGTTTCCAGTTTTCTTGACTGAAAAAGCCCCAAATGTTTACCTTGTAGCTAGTGAACATTCACATCAATTATAATTATGGCTACAACTACCTAGCATAACAGTTAAATGCACAAGCTCTTAGCATAGACTGCCTGAGTTGGAATCTCAGCTCCACCACTTAGTAACCATGTGATTTTAGGCTTTTACTTAAACCCTCCAAACTTGTTTTGTCAACTGCAAAAAGAGTTTTATGATGCGCCGACCTCATGGGTGAGCAATTGGAATAATGCCTTGCCCATTATAATCCCTCCATTGGTGTGAGCTGTTATTATGACTGTTACCATGCATTGAGCTCCTTCAAATGCCAGGCCCTATGTTAAATTCTCATGCATTCTCCCATTTTCACAATGGGTTATATTATTCCCACCTTTGAGCAGGGGAAACTGATTCACAGTGGGAAGGTGACTTGCCTCAGATCCCACAGCTAATAGGAGGAAGAGGCTGGATTCATGTCAGGCTGTGTCAACACCAGAGCCCCTTTTTCACTCCACCATTAGGTTATCTCTCCCGACTTCCAGCTCATTCTCCAAGGAGCCCCCTTGGCTCCTTCGCAACTTCCTATCCTGATATCCAGGGACATTTCCACATTAATCTCGGTTTCCTTTGCTATTTATGTTGTTACCTTGCCCATGCTGTATCACAAGGGTTATTAGTCAGAAATTGTGTGTCAGTGGTTATGACCCTAAAGGAAACATTCCGGAACTCCCACCAACCCTTCCCTGATCTCAGCTCATGAATAACAGACTATTTATCAGTGGGCAGAATACAACCTATTGTTGGAGTATAAAGGAACAGCGACCAGGTTAGAAGGCCTCCGTACAAGATGTGTGCCTCAAGGACCTGCTGAGTAAGCTGGTGAACACGTGGCTTTTGGAAAACAGGATGACGCCAGCCCAAATTGCTGACAGGTCAGCCCCGCTTGCTGTGAACTGAGTCTTCTAGGAACAGGGATGCATTGCCCCAGAGAGAGTCATGCATTCACCTAATGACAAGTAAAAATGAAAATTGTAGCAGCTACCATCTGAGTGCTCCCCATGTGCCAAGGAGGCGCTACATACACCTCCAGGTGTCAGCCCTCACCACTCCCTGCCTTGCTCTTTTTGAGCCAAGAATCCCAAACAACCCAGAGCCCTCTACAGGCTCCATGCTAGTTCTTGCCTCCGTGCCTTTGCCATTCATTCCTCCATTCAACAGACATATTTACTATGTGTCGCTTATGGGTTGAATTGTGTCCCTCCAGCATTCATATGCTGGAGTCTTAACACCTGATATCTCAGAGCATGATCTTATTTGGAAACACAGTCATTGCAGGTGCAATAAAATGAAATATGCTGGGCCCCTAATTCCATATGAATTGTGACTTTATAAGAAGGGAAATTTGAACATAGACACACACTCACAGGTGAAATGTCAATGTGAAGATGAAGGCAGAGAGTGGAGTAATGTGACTATAAGCCAAGGAACACTGAAGGAACCACTAGGAGCTAGGAGGGAGGCAAGGAACAGAGTCTCCCTCATGGCCCCTAGAAGAAACCAGCCCTGCCCACACCTTGATCTTGGACTTCTAGCTTCCAGAACCGTGACAGTTAATATTGAGTGTCAACTTGATTGAACTGAAGGATGCAAAGTATTGTTCCTGGGTGTGTCTGTTAGGGTGATGCCAAAGGAGAATAACATTTGAGTCAGTGGAATGGGAGAGGCAGACCCACCATTGATCTGGGTGGGCACCATCTAATCAGCTACCAGCAAGGCTAGAATAAAGCAGGCAGAAGAATGTGGAAGAGGCAGACTTGCTGAGTCTCCCAGGCTTCATCTTTCTCCCATGCTGAATGCTTTCTGCCCTTGAACATCAGACTCCAAGTTCTTCAGCTTTTAGACTCTTGGACCTACACCAGTGGTTTGCCAGGGGCTCTTGGACCTTTGGCCACAGACTGAAGACTGCACAGTCATCTTCCCTACTTTGAAGTTTTGGGACTCGGACTGGCTTCTTTGCTCCTCAGCTTGCAGATGGCCTACTGTGGGACTTCACCTTGTGATCTTGTGAGTCAATTCTCCTTAATGAACTCCCTTTCACATATACATCTATCCTATTAGTTCTGCCCCACTAGAGAACCCTGACTAATACAAGAACTATGAAACAATAAATTTCTGCTGTTTGAGCCACACAGTCTATAGCACCTTATTACGTCAGCCCTAACAAACCAATACACTGTCAGATCCTAAGTGACAGGGATATCGCACTAAACAAGACAGATAAGGTCCCTGTCCACATAGAGCTTACGTTTCAATAGGGAAGACAGACTATAAGTACACAAAGTGTATATAGTATGATTTCAGTGATAAAAAGGACACTAAAGCAAAGTAAAAGGATGGAGTGTGTGACCAGGGTGCATAGAGAAAATGCCTATAATGAGACGACATTTTGAGCAAAGGCCTGGAAGAAGTCAGAGGCAAGCCATGTGAAGTTATGGAGGAAGAACATTCTATGCCAGCCCTTTTTCCTGAACAGTGGTTCACTTTTCCGATGCCCTGCCAAGCCCCACACCTGGCCGACTCATCCTTCAGGTCTCAGTTCAGTGGGTACCAAAAAAAAAAAAAATTAGAAAGAATGAATAAGACCTACTATTTGATAGCACAATAGGGTGACTCTAGTCAACAATAACTTAATTATATACTTTTAAATAACTTAAGAGTGTAAGTGGATTGTTTGTAACTCAAAGGATAAATGCTTGAGGGGATGGACACCCCATTCTCCACGGTGTTCTTATTTCACATTGCATGTCTGTATCAGAACATCTAGTATACCCCATAAATATATACACCTCCTACATACCCACATAAATTTTAAATTACAATTAAAAAGTCTCAGCTCAGGTGCCATCTCCTGTAAGGAGCCTTCGACGACAGCCCCCAGGCCCCCAGGCTAATCTAAATGCTACTCTCCCTTGGGATCTCCCATACCTCCAATGGAGGTGTTTCCCTGAATTCTCATGTTCTTTTATAACTTTTTGGTTGGTTTCGTATCTCTGTGCCTGGATTGTGCTTTCCTAGAGGACAGGATCATGTCTTATTTTTGTATCCCCAGAACTCAGCATAGAAACAAGGGTAAAGAACAAGGTTCAACACAAATCTATGGGTGGATGGATGGATAGATAGATAGATAGATAGATAGATAGATAGATACATAGATACATAGATTGACAGATGGACAGATGGATGGAAGAAGAGGCGGGTGGAATTATGTTATTTATTACTCACTACAGCCTTATAAGATAGTTACTATTAGACTTATGGTACAGATGAGGAGATCTGGGTCCCCATGAAGATGGGTCCTGGTTATTTACACACTGCCCAAGTTCTAGGCCTCCAGGCACAGTTCAACTGGCATAAACTGGTGAAGCAGATGTCTGGGTAAAGTCACCAGTTAGGTGCAAGTTCCTTGGAAGCACATAGCCTTTTACAGACTAAACTTTAACATTTCCATTTGATCCTCACAACAGCCTACAATGTATACACACAGGATAATTGTCCTCATTTGAAAAATCAGAAAATCTAGATTTAGAGAGGTAAAATGAATTTCCCAGGGTCTCAAAGCAGTCACATAGAGCATGTGGTGCCTCCTCAACTAACTGACGCCTAGAACCGTATCTTAGATGCTCAGGACCGAGAGGACCTTCAACTTCATCTAGTCCAACCTCCACCAGACCAGGAAGAGGTGTCTCAGGATTTCACTAGCTCCAAAGAAATACCAGAGATGCTGTTCTGCCCCAAAACACCAGAAAACACCTGCCCTTTAAAACAAAATAAAGAGGCAAAAAGAGAAAGAAAAGGAAACCAATATCTAGACATAGCCCTAAAATCCATTTTTCCCTGATAGCTGCACTTTATTCTTCAAAGCCCCTTTTCCTTTAAGACCATAAGCTCTTCTGGAGGATTGAGTTGGAGGAGGACAGAGTGATGATAAATCTACCAACAACCCCAGCCCCTTCTATCAGTCGTTTAATGAGAAGCACGTGGAAGTGGAGGGGAATGAAGGCACGGATGGGCAGAGTTCAAAAGGTTCCTCCCCCTTCTGGTGTAGAGGGGGATTTGTTGTGTAACCTAAACATCCCAGCATTCCTAGCGGGAAGAGGCAGAGCGCAGGAGGCCCAGCACAGCCGGCCTGCAAAGTTACCAAAGGCTCCTCTCAGTCTGACAGTCCCTGTGACTTCGATCCTGGCTGTCCACGTTGCTTAATAGTCTACGGTCTGCCCTGAGCTTTTGTCCCCACTTCAAGGGTATGGATTCAACCCCCAGAGGACAAGGTCAGATCCAGGAGCTGCAGTCAGCCCCATTCCCTGTGTGAAAAACATCCTTCAAGCTTACAAAGCATTCTGGGGTATAATATCTCAAAACTGGTTTAAAATTAAAGGTACTCACTCATCATGCTCAGCTTGTTTCCACACCTGTGTTTTCAGTAAACCACACTGATTTTCACCTGTCATTCAGCTAGAAAAAAACCTCACTATCTTTATTCTACCTCTGTGTCATTCCTACATTCAAATGATGAGCAAAAGCAGCCGACTCTACTTGAGAAATGTCTTCCCAGTATCACTCGCCAATATCACTTCCTGTAATCTCCCTGCAGCACCTGCCCTAGTTTAGGCCTGTTCCTCGCTCTCTGGGCCTTCTAATTGCAGCCAGCCCTGCTTCCCTTGCCAACCTTCTTTACCTGTTATCATGATCTTCCTGCAACAATTAACCTGGTCAAATCAGTCCCTGCTCAAATTGTTGGATCACTATTTCCAATGGGATAAATCCAAACTCTTTATCAGGGAACACAAGGCCCTACATCATTCAATCTCCTCTCCTCATCCCCAGCCACTTCTGCATTTCATTTTTCTCTCCTGCAGCTCTGACTTGCTTGTAATTAAACGCAAGTCAGAGCTGCAGGAGAGAAACCATGTATCACCCCCATTCATTGCCTCATGTTATTCCCTTTCCCTGGAATGCCTCCCTTTCCTCACCATCTCACACCCCTTGTTGCCCTGCCAAACTCCTACTCATCCTTTGAGGATCAGCACAGGCATCACCTGCTTGAGGGAGCTTTGCTCGACCTCTGTCACCCCACCCCACCCACCATCGTTGGTGTAGGTGTCTTTTCCCATGGTCCTCTGTTGCTGCACTGTGCACCAAGAGTGACAGCCACCTGTTCATGTGCATTTGTTCCCATTTGACTGTGAGCTCCTCAAGGGCCAGGACTCTGTTTCACTCATCTCTATATCACCTGCTGTTAGCCAAAGCCCTGGCAAAAGGAAGAATTAAATAAATATGGAATGAGTGAATGAATGGTTGATAGACTTGGTGTAACCTATGAGGGAAAGTGTAGAGTCTAGGATAACTTGATGTTTGAGGATACAGTGAATAGCTGGATATGAATGCTCTTCTTTCTTTCTTCTACTTCTTTTGTTTTTTTTTTTTTTTTTTTGAGATGGAGTCCCGCTTTATTGCCCAGGCTGGAGTGCAATGGCATGATCTCATCTCTCTGCAACCTCCGCCTCCCAGGTTCCAGTGATTCTCCTGCCTCAGCCTCCTGAGTAGCTGGGATTGCAGGCACCTGCCACCACACCCAGCTAATTTTTTTGTATTTTTAGTAGAGATGAGGTTTCACCATGTTGGCCAGGGTGGTCTCAAACTCCTGACCTCAGGTGATCCACTCACCTCGGCCTCCCAACATGCTGGGATTACAGGCGTGAGCCACCGCGCCCGGCCATGAATGCTTTCCATAAGCATGGGAAGTAGAGAATGCATGAAAGTTTAGGGAGCAGATGGCCACTCCTATCAGGTAGAGATGTCCACTAGCTGGATCCATGTACACATCTGGAGTTCAGGATAGAGCTCATCTGGATGAGATATGTCATTTGGGGTATCGCTGCTGTGGAAAAATTCCTAGAGAGGAGTCTAGAGTGAGAAAAACCGTGGAGGGAACCCTGAGGAACACTGGTATTAAAGAGTGGGCAGAGAAAGACAATCTCGTACAAACAACAGAGGGGAAGCATCCAGAGAGGTAGGAGCTGCTCCATTGAGGGGAGTGCACTCCAAACCAGGGGAGGAGTGCATTCCAAGAAGTGACCAGTGTTTCCAAATGCAGCAGGCATGGCCACCCTTCTTCAATGATGGGCAAGACTTCATCCCCTCACACTGTGGGTTCCAGCCTGTCTGCCTGGTTTAGGGTTCCCTGAACAGGCCACACCATTCACCCTCCCATACCTTTGCTTAGTCATTCCCTCTGCCAGCAAGTTCCACAACCACACACCCCCAAACTGTCATCATCCATCAAACACCATTTGAGCTTTTCCTCTCGCAAATCCTTCCTAACCTGCCCCTGCCCAGTGGTGAGTTGACCACCCCCTCCTCTAGACCTCCACTTTTCTATGAACTTGGCTCTTATGCATCAGCTGTAATAATAGTTTTGTTTTCATGCCTATTTTCTCCACAAATTTGAGTTCTCTGGGGGCACAGCTTGCCTTATTTGTCTAGACAATGCCAAGCCCAGACACAGGGTCTACCATCAAGTCAGAAGTCTATATATTTTACTGAGAGAGAAAGAAAGAATAAAAGACTTTGCACATCAACCTCACTCAGAGAACAAATCAATAGAAGTGCACAACTCAAAATCCGATTAATTGCCCATCTCCTCTGTTGGTTTTTGGTTGACTGAGGTTCCTTGGAAATGCCTGGGTTAATATTATACAAGATGCATTAAGTGGCTTTTGCCCTGGCCTCTATGAGCTCCTGAATGTAGTTACAAATGAACTCATCTGGGTGGGAGGGAGCACCTTCGGGGGTTATATAGAAACATCCGCTTGTGTTGAAGCGGCCAAACTGCCTTTCTTTTGCCCCCACTGCAGCAAGGGTGTCTCATAAATGTTAAATAATCATAATGACCATGCTCAAGGGGGTGTCAGTGGTCATAAAAGCTAGTTTTTATGGATGCTTCCCTGCGTCTCCTGGTGGGTGGTTAGAAATTGAGCAGGACTGATGGCCAGAGGTCTCCATATAGCCTGCATCTGAGAGACCTATAAGCTTGGGTGGCAAGAAGGAGCTCCAATCACAGGCCAGGACACTCAACTATTGATTGATAGAGGAAGGCCACCCACACCGTGCCTTCTGGAATCCATTGGTGAGTCACCGGCCAACGGATTATGTGTTCAATATGGGCCATTGGGCCTGATACCAAGGCATTTCCTGCTTACAGCTTAGGGGAGCTGTCCTTAATGAGGGTGATGACCTATAGGTCCAAGAAATAACCAGATGAGAGGGAAACCCTGGTCTTATTTACACCTCATGGGATGTGGCTTCCTAGGCCTTTTCTGTTTGATTCCATATTTTCCAGGACCTCACTTTATATTCATTCCATCACTTATCTGTTGTGTCCATTAATTCCGAGGCCATTAATTAAGCACCTGGGCAGGCTGCCGGAAATAAAAAATAGATAAGACATGGTTAACACCTTTATTGGGTCAACTTTGGAGAGATAAAAAACCAATTCCTTTGTGATATTTAAGTATTTACAGCCATAGAGGTATGTACCAAAGGAAGAAAGAGCTGTCATGGAGGTAATATTTGTACTGAGTTTTGAAGGATCAATAGAATTTCACCAGGAAGGTACAAAGGAGGAAGGAGGATGCCCAGGTACTCAGTGGGTGGAGGAGGCACTTTACACAATTAGACACGTAGAGTGAGAGGAGTGCTAAAATGAGGGTCAAGAGCAGGGCCTCCACCTTACACAACTCCAGGGGAGCACCAGTCACATGGGAGTGTATGGAGTCATGCAGGGCATAACCTGGTGGCCGTGTACCCCAAGTGGCCCTAGTCAGGAGACCTGGGTTTGATTCCTGGCTCTGATATTAACTAGCTGTATGACCTTGGATGATGTTTTTCACATTTCTCAGTCTCTTTTTTTTTTTTTGAGATGGAGTTTCACTCTTCTTTCCCATGCTGGAGTGCAAAGGCAGTCTCTTTAAGTGTGGAATAAAGAGGTTGGACTGGATGGTTTCCAAATATCCTCTCCTCTCTAGTGTCTTCTATGAGTCTACGCATCCAGACTGAGATAAAATGGGACTTGGAGTTAAAGCTTGTCATTTCAGGAATGAATTAGGCATTGTCTTTGGAAATGAGACCTTAATCTTCCCCTGACTCTTAATCTCTGTGCATTTTTTATAAAAGTTAGTTAAACATTGGCACATGGAATATTAACACTAAAAGGGAAACTAAAGATCATTTAACCCAAGTGGTTCATTTTTGAGAAGATGAGACTGAGGCCAGAGACAGTAAATGATTCAGCAAGTTGGGTCAAGACTCAGGTCAAGACAGAAGTGTTCTTTGCCCCAAGCCAAGTAGTTCCCAAGTTTGACCTCAACTCTCTCCAAGATATTGTAACCTCCTTCACCCAAGTTTTGGGTTTATTGAAAAAAAAAAAAAAAAAAAAAAAAAAAACAAAGTACGAGGCAAAACCAGCATCCTATTAAGAAGTGTAATGTTGCTAGGAAAGCCTGCCAGTAGATCTTCTCCCACACCTCCTGGCCATCCTGTTTCTACTTTGCTGGCTCCCAAACAGCACAGCATGCTGTTGACCTGCAGATCTAGGAGAATAGCACACCTCCACTTGATAGTTCTTTGAAATATGAGAAATCCAAGCTCTTGTCCTAACATAAGTAAATGAATTCCATGAATATATTTAAATCATTTTAGACATAGGTCAGAATATTCCAAGCACTATCCACCCCAGGTACCCAAACGAGGAACCCATGTGTTGTTCTAGCTCTTCCCCTTCTCTTTCCCTTGCTCTCATTCCAGTTCCAAAACATATCCCTATCTCTATCCCCATGACCTACTTCAGGGCCACATGCTTTCTTACCTGAGCTCTTACATTAGTCACCTAATTAATCTCCCTCTTCTCACCCAGACCCCTTCTGCCACCATGAGGATTCTGACTCTCCCTCTGCTTAAAGGCAAATCAGGTGCACCCCATACCTATCAGATAAAGCCCAAATTCTTCAGCCTGGCATGCCATGCCTTTTGTGACTTTTCCCTGCCCGCTTGTCATCATTCATCTTTCAGCCATTCCTGCTCTGCCTTCATCCTCCACAAAAATACACTATTATTATTTATGGTTCCACAAATATATTATGTTCTCTCAAGTCTCCCTACCTTTGCTGGGGTTATTTTCCCTGCCAGAATTGCTTCCCCCATCCTCAAATCCATCCGATTTGTATCACTCTGCTTGGGTTGCCAAAACAAAATACACAAACTGGGTAGCTTAAACAACAGAAATTGATTCCTTCACAGTTCTGGAGGCTAGAAGTTCATGATCATGGTGTCAGCAAATTCAATTCCTGCTAAGGGCTCTCTTCCTGGCTTGCAGACAGCCACCTCCTCCCTATGTCCTCACAGGGACTTCCTTCTTTGTGCAAGTGTCTTTGGTGCCTCTTCCTTTTATTTTAAGAGCACTATTAAATTAGGGTTATAATTAAAGTTAAATGTGACCTCATTTAACCTTAACTATCTCTCTAACAGCCTTATCTCCAAATGCAGTCCCATTAAGAGTTAGGGTTTCAGCATATGAAGTGGGGCAAGGGAATGATTAAGCCTGTAACACTTCTATTATAGCTTTTATTTTTATGTATTCAGTTTATTTGTTTTCAGCTGGGCTCAGTGGCTCACGCTTGTAATCCCAGCAGTTTGGGAGGCCGAGGCAGGCGGATCACCTGAGATCAGGAGTTGGAGACCAGCCTGGCCAGCATGACGAAACCACGTCTCTACTAAAAATACAAAAATTAGCCAGGCACAGTGGTGGGCACCTGTAATCCCAGCTGCTTGGGAAGCTGAGGCACAAGAATCACTTGAACCTGGGAAGTGGAGGCTGCAGTGAGCCGAGATCGTGCCATTGCACTCCAGCCTGGGTGACAAAGCAAGACTCCATCTCACAAAAAAAAAAAAAAAGAAAGAAAAAAGATTATTTGTTTTCACATCTGTCTCTTCCACTGGCTTCTGAGGGAACCTGGAACGCCTTTGAATCTGTAGCTCAGTGAGGGTCCATCTAGATTTTGTGAGACCCATCCTCCCTACCCCAGGCTTACAAAATGCGGTAGGCCCTCATTGGGAAAAAGATTAAAAATTAGGTATAAGGTGAATTTAGAAAGGTCCCATGCAAGTGAAGCGCCCTGGAGTTCAAGCCTCGGAGCTTCATACTTTATCTGTCTCTGGGCTCAGTAAAGATGTGTCACAATAAAAAGCTTCAACAGCCTCAATATGTACTAGAAAGACTGGATTTAAATCCAATCTCTCATCTCCCTTTGGGCAGGTGAGTTCATTATCTGCACATTGGTATTTCTGCATATGTAAAAATGAATTTATAATACCTGCCGTGTTAAGGTTGTTTTGCACTGAAGATGTATTTAGGTAACCTGAAAATATACCAAATATTTGTTTACTTGCTTATTGTCTGTGTTCCCCACCACAGTCTAAACCCCATGAAGAAAGAGACTTTGCCTTCGTCATTGCTGAACGCCTCTTGTCTAGAATAATGTCTAGAAATTGTTGGGTGTTCAATGAATGTTTATTGATTGAAACAATATAGTACCTCCTCATATCTGAAACAATGGTGCCTGGTATCCATTGATAGGTTAAGTTCTCCCAATTTTAACTCTTACTATTATTAATAAATTTTAGTTAAATGAGTAATAAGGAGAAAGAAAATACAAATATCAGAAGAGATAAAAACCACTCATAGACTCTGGAGAGCAAAGTAAATCAAATTTCATATGATCCGAAATGTTTTCAGACCTAGAATTTTTTTTAAAAATCTTTAAAAAAAAAAGATCGGAGGCTGAGGCAGGCAGATCACGAGGTCAGGAGATCGAGGCCACCTTGGCTAACATGGTGAAACCCCGTCTCTACTAAAAATACAAAAAATTAGCCGGGCGTGGTGGCGGGCGCCTGTTGTCCCAGCTACTCAGGAGGGTGAGGCAGGAGAATGGCATGAACCCAGGGGGTGGAGCTTGCAGTGAGCTGAGATCGCGCCACTGCACTCCAGCCTGGGCGACAGAGAGAGACTCCATCTCAAAAAAAAAAAAAAAGAAAGAAAGAAAAGCAAACAAAGGAACAATGCACACGTATCCACACAAGGAACACCGAAAATCCTTCAGGCAGTAAGTTGAGTAAAAGATAGGAAAGCCCCAGAAATTTGACATGGCTTCACTGGTGACCAAGACAGCATATTTATTCATTGTTCAGCAGCTCCCTTCTTATTCTCCAAGGAGTGGAAAGCGTTGCTGAGTTCTGGACGAAAGCCTCTCCCGTCAGCTGTTTAAGAGCATTGCTGTCATTAGACAACCTCAAATCATGTCAAGCCCCAGTCTCTGCCAGCACCGAGCTGAAAAGCCAATCCTCCAACTTAGCTCTGAACTCTTCACCCCAATCAATTAAGAGCGATCCCATCAAAAACCCCAAATAAGTTTGCTTGGCCTGACCTTGACGATTCTAGTTAAAGAGACATCGCTCCTCCTGGAAGAATCTATCATTTTTAAATGGCTCACATGATGGCTGAGGAATTCAGGGAGAGTTAGACTGAATCCCAGCACCCGAGAGCTGAGAGAGACCTCGGCACTCAGAGTCCATTTTTCACTACAGAAGAGGAAACTGAGGCTCAGAGACAGCGACTACCTTTCTTGAGGTCATATAACTTGGCGATTATTGTTGTGAAAATGTATTCCTTACACCAGTCAGAATGGCTATGATTAAAAAGTCAAAAAACAACAGATGTTGGTGTGGATGTGGAAAAAAGGGAATGTTTATACACTGTTGGTGGGGAAGAAATTAGTAAACTAGTACAACATCTAGGAAAAACAGTATGGAGATTTCTCAAAGAACTAAAAATAAAATTATCATTTGACCCAACAACCCCACTACTGGGTATCTACCCAGTACTTGTACCTGTATTTGTATGTCTATTGCAGCACTATTCTCAACAGCAAAGTCATGGAATCAACCTAAGTGTCCATCAGCAGCTGAACTGATAAAGAAAATATGGCTGGGTGCGGTGGCTCACACCTATAATCCCAGCACTTTGAGAGGTTGATGTGGGTGGATCACTTGAGGCCAGGAGTTTGAGACCAGCCTGGCCAACATGGTGAAATCCCATCTCTACTAAAAATACAAAAATTAACCAGGCCTGGTAGTGCACACCTGTAATCCCAGCTAGTCGGGAGGCTGAGGCAGGAGAATCACTTGAACTCAGGTGGTGGAGGGCTGCAGTGAGCTAGCTGAGTTCACACCACTGCACTCTACCCTGGGTGACAGAGCAAGGCTCTGTCTCAAAAATAGATGTATATGGTACATATACGCCATGGAATACTACACCACCAATTAAAAAGAATGAAATCATGTCTTTTGCAGCAACATGGATGGAGCTAGAGGCAATTATCTTAAAAGAAATAACTCAGAAACAGAAAACCAAATACTGCATGTTCTCACTTACAAGTGGGAGCTAAAGAATCAGTACACATGAACATCTAGAGAGTAATAACAGAACTAAGGGCTCCAAAAGGGGGAAGCGTCAGAGGAAGAGAGGGTTGAAAAATTACCTGTTGGGTACAATGTTCACTGTTTGGGTGACAGGCACCCTAAAAGTCCAAACCCTACCACTACACAATATATCCATATAACAAACCTGCACATGTACCCCTGAATCTATAAAATAAAACTTTTTTTTTAAAAAAGGATTATTTAGCTTTCTATTCAGTTCATTAATCATCACACTTGACCGTGCCAGTGACTGACTCATGATTCAAGAAGAGCTTGCTTCCACTTCCCAGAACTTGTTCCAGTTTCTCATTCTGCTTCCTATGCACTGTGTGAACTTGGACAAGTGACTTCACCTCCTGAACCTCAATTTTCATCCTTCAAAAGATGCGATAATAACATTTATTTCACACGTGTGTTATCAAGAGGAAATGAAAAAGCATTTAATTAAAACTGTTACTTTTAGTGCTTAATAATTGTTAGTTTCCCACCTTTTTCCTTTCTTCCTTCCTCTCTCTTTCTATTCCTTCTTTTCTTTTCCCTTGCTTCCATGCTTTCTTTCTTCCTCTGTTCTTAACAAGTACTGTAATGAATACAAAGAAGTTTAACAGAGGATCCTTGCTCAAAGGAAGTTAATCTCCAGGTGGCTTCAGTTTCCTCATCTATAAAATGTGAAGGTGGGAATGGATAACTTCTCCAGATATGTCCTCCCCTCACCAATTTATCTGCAGTAACACGTGTACATACGTAGTCAGCACAGATTACCAAGCACCTCTTTTCAGCCAGATCCTGAGCTAAGCTACACGGATAGATAGATTTACACTCCCTGTCCTCCACAAGCTCACAGAAAAATTGTAGCTGAAGACAAGGGGGAAGAACCTACAGTAGGCATGCAATTTATATAACTATTTTAAAGAGTTCAGATGTCAAGTAGAGAAAGGGGAAAATAGCCACGTCAGAGTCTACTGATGAGACAATCAGAGAGGGAAACACACAAAGTACTGTAGCTCTTGTCTGATTAAAAAGTACACACAAGTGTTAAAAGGAAGTAAAAGTTCACCACTCAGGGCAAATTATTTACAGGCACCAAATATTCTGAAGGAAATCTAAGGCATACCAACTACTAAATGTATTCAGTCTTCTAGGTTCTATGGTTAAGCTTGGTAGGAAAAAAAAATACAAAACCATACAATACTGGAAAGAGAGAAAGAGAAAGAAAGAAAGAAAGAAAGAAAGAAAGAAAGAAAGAAAGAAAGAAAGAAAGAAAGAAAGAAAGAGAAGGAAGAGATGGAAGAAAAGGAAGAGGAAGAAAGGAAGGAAGGAAAGTAACTTTGGTTTACACTTCTATGTACTCAGTTCCATACCAGGCCCCTTCACTGATATTATTCCATGAATGAAAGAAAAGAAGGAGAGAGGAAAGAAGGGGAAGAGAGGTGTGGGGTAGGGACAGGGAGGATGGAGAGGAGGGAAGAAGGAGGGACAAGAGGAGTGAAGGAAGGGAAGAAGGGAAGCGAAGAGAAGGTAGAAAAAGAAATGGAAGAAACTTGCAAGATGGATATTACCTTCCTTTTAAACGTGAGAAAACTAAAGCCAACAGATGAAATGCCTCGCACAGGCCACACAGATAATAAGAAGCAGAACCAGGATTCAAAGCCAGCTATGTCTGATTTCAAAGCTTGTGCTCCTTTCAGAATATCCTAATCACCAGGGCAGAGTCCAGTGTATCCCCCAAATGATGGTATAATTGTAAAGTATAGTCCAAAAAGCAGTAGCCAGGACCTCATAAGAATGGGAATAAAAGAAACAGAAATAAGAGCCCTTCCAGGTGCCCAGAGAATTCCACCACTCCTGTGATTAGCTATGCAAGATTCACCTCTCCCTTTGCTATTTATTGACTGAGTTAACCCTAGGCAAGTCACTGCACCTCTCTGGACCCCCAGTTATCTGCAAAATGGGTGTGTAATATTGTCACCATTTGATGAAGGAGACTGCATTCGCTAACCTCTTGAGATCCCCTTCAGCTTTAAGCCCTTGATTCTACTCACATCACAGAATCTCATACCTGGAAAGGACTATAGGAATAAGTGTTTCTCAAGCTTGAGAAGTAGACAGACCTTGGAGGAGAGATTTTTATTTGCCCCCTTTATCTGTTCTCTTCTTTTACATAGTGATAGAATTTTTAGTTGGTCGCAAGACTTTGCAGCTAAAGAGATTTCTTGCAGCTAGGTGTAGCCATATGACCAAATTATAGGATGTGAAAAGAAGTGATTTGGGCAACTTCTGTCCCTGAAAGAAAACAGTAGGCTCTCCCCCTTTCCTCCTTCCTGCTGGATGGAATGCAGACTTGATGGCAGGAGCTGGAGCTGCAGTCTTGGATCACAAGGTGGAAGTCAAGTGTTGAGCACTACAGAGCAACATGAGGGAAAGAGCAGGGGTCTTGATGATTGTGGAGCCATCGTTCTAGCTCTGGATCACCTACCTCGACTTTTTATTTGAGAGAGAAATAAATTCCTATCTTGTTTATGCCATTGTCTCCTAACAAATTCATTCCTTTTAAAGAAAAAAAAAACTCTCTAATTTCCCAATTTGGGAAACACACCACATGGAAAGTTAAATGCTAATACTCCAGATGTTTTCGTGGTGCTGCTAGAGCCATAAACACAAATTCAAACAGGACTGCTGAAACCTCATGTCTATAAATGGAAATCGAGGGGAAGGGTCCTTAAATAATTCCGATTGTTTTATATTGAATGAGAAGAGGTTTGGATAATCATTTCAATGTAAACACAAATTTATACAAATTACCGCAGAACTTTTAAATTGCCCTCACCCCTACCCTGAGCCTGGAGGCCCAAGGAACTCAATTAGAGAGAGAAAAAAAACGATCTAATCCATTTGTTTTATAAGAAATTTCTCAGTGACTCCAGGGCAATATCTGGTGGAGACAGAAGTCCTGAGAGCAGGAGGCAGGACAAGGTGGAGGCAGAAGAAGGAGAACCTTGGGTCCCCATCCTCGCTTCAACCACAGCACCACTGCTTTAATCTAGTTTATAAACTAGGGTTTTATAGGAGAGTTCAAAAGGCTCTGTTGTTAAAGTTCAAATATGTGCAACCTCCTGGTTAACAGAGGAAGGAGCTAGAGTCCAGAAAGGGGAAGTGGTTTGCCCAAAGTTTCACAGTAAGGGGGAGGCCAAGTTCCCCATGCCTAGAAACCAGCCTTTCACCTGAATCAGACCTACCGATCAAGCCAGACCCAGTGCCTAACCTGGAAACAACCCGACAAGGCTTCTTGAAGTCCCTCAACCCACTTTTACCCCATAGAGAGAGCTTCTCTTTTGCTCATAATTTTTCAGTGACTGTCTTGTCTCCATCTGTATTTCACTCAGAAGAGAAAGAGCCTTTAACCACTACAGGTACCATACCCTGAGGATGTGCTGGTAGATTCCTAAACAGGCCAGGGAAGTCAGGGGCCAGCCAGCCATCTCAGCTGACCCAGACAGTTCCTGCAGCATCACGACCAAAAGTGTCTTCTTCCCAGAAGGAAGGGTCAGGTAGGTGCCTGGTGTCAAGAACAGGCTTCCAAATTCTTAGGCATTAGTGTTGGTCACACAGATTAAAGTTAAAAGTGATTATTCATAAGAATAATCCAGATGTTCCCAGTTCTCAGAGGGCTTTTACACGCATTATCTCATTTGGGGACTCACACAATGTTACAAGGAACACTGGGCAGAAATTAATATGCCCTTCTATAGGTGGAGGCCCATCAGGATCTCACCAGAATGTGAGACTTTCAAGGGCACAAGATTTTGTCTATTTTGTTCACTGCTATTTCCCTAGTGTTTACAACACTCAACTTGGAATGATGTTCAATATCTATTTATTTAACGAATGAGTAATAAACAGCCCTTGCCAATCTTCCTAATCTCATCTCTCTTCACTTTTCCCATATGCCACTGACTGTGATCACACTGAACCGCATCCAGGTGCCCAAGTGTGAGAAACTCCTCCCCAAGCCTGAAGTTTCTGCATGAGTTTTTTTCCTCAGCCTGAAGTGGGCTCCTCCAACTTAGCCTCTATTGGACCTTTATGTCTCAATCTTGACATTCTGGGCTACAGATGCCTCACCAGGCAAGAGCAACCAGCCTAGGGGACAACTAAGGGTGAAAAATCTCCACTTGTGCTCTGCTTGCCAAGCTGGGCATCCTGCCATGGAGCTATAGTCACCCACAAAAAGGGGTGCCTTTTTCAAATTTTCACAAAGGCTCCAACAGAGTTAACTGTGGTCCTGTTGACAAGTTCCTCTGGGGGTTTTTGTTCACAGCCCAAAATAGTTTGGAGTCCACTCACAATCTCTGGACTTGTCTGTTTCCCTCTCAAGGCGGTGAGTTCTTCCACGGCAGGGGCTGTCTGGTTAGAAGTTCTCAGGCATCAGTACCATGCCAGGCCCACAGGAGGGGTTCAAGAAATGTTTATTGAATGACAGAGTAAATGAATGAATGATGAGTGAAGCGTAGAGAGGTGAACTGACTTTTCCAGAGTCAAACGGCCAGTAAGCGGCACAGCTGGCTTGAGTCCCCTAAACCTCCTGAAATCTAGTCTAGAGCTTTCTTCCATAGTGGAAATCTTCCTTCCAAATATTCCTTCTGGAAGTCAAGTCCTCAGAGACACCTTAACTAGTGGTGAAGACAAGTCAGACGAACTTAATTAATTCTGAGCACTCTCATGCATCCTATTCGCCAGGCCAGTGAGGGCATTCAGAAATATTTAGGGAGACTCATTTTTCTACCTCAATTCTTATTTCTGTCTGCTCCTCACTCTTCACCCAGAATTAAGACATGCTGGGCCGGGAGCGGTGGCTCACACCTGTAATCCCAGCACTTTGGGAGGCCGAGGAGGGTGGATCATAAGGTCAGGAGTTCGAGACCAGCCTGGCCAACATGGTGAAACCCTGTCTCTACTAAAAATACAAAAATTAGCTGGGCATGGTAGCGGGCACCTGTAATCCCAGCTACTCGGGAGGCTGAGGCAGGAGAATTGTTTGAACCCGGAAGGCCGAGGTTGCAGTGTGCCAAGATCGGGCCATTGCACTCCAGCCTGGGTGACAATGCAAGACTACGTCTAAAAAAAAAAAAAAAAAAAAAAAACACAACCACAACAACAAAAAAGACATGCTAACTAAGTTCAAGCAGGTCCCATGCCTCCAATGCAGGCTGTCCTGACCCAGCTTTGCCCCTTCAGTTCTTATCCTGCAAACCTAAAAAGCTGCTACACCAAGTGGCTTCTCTAAAAGACCCCAAGAGCCAAAAGCGACTCACATTTTGGTCTCTGGGGGATAATGTGATCCAGATTCCCTTACGCCATGCTGAACAAGGGAAAGCAAAGAGTATAGAAAATCACTACATTGGCAGCAGGGAGACGGGGGTTCTGATCCCTGCCCAGCTATTCACACAGTGAGTCATTTACGCAGGTAATTTTTCATCCAGGAGGCGAAGGAGATTTGAACATGCACCTGGACCAGGACTAGGACTATCTGTAAAAGATCTGAAAGATACCAAGGGAAGGGGAGCTTTGATTGCTTCTCCATCCAAGGTGGGGGCTGAGCTAGACAGAGTAGAAAGAACTCAGGTATAGTCTCCAATGCTAGGCCCACCACTTTCTCACTGTGTTCTTGGGCAAGTCACTGGACATCTGAGTCTCCGTTTCCTCATCTGAATACAGGGGTCAAAATTTCTACATTGAAATGGTTTTCCTTCACTTGCCTGTTTTATGATCTTAAAATTGGTAACTGCCTTCTCTGGGCCTCCCTTCTTTCCTTACCTACTTATCAGCGCTGTGGCAGAGTAGGAAAGGGCATGGGTTCTAGGGCGTGATTTGCAGTGTGATCTTGAGTCAGTTGCTTCTCTGTGTCTCAGTTTTCTCCTTTGTAAAACAGTGGCTACCTCATGAATTTGTTACAAGGACTAAAAGAGAGGAAAGTATATCAAGTACTTGGCCCACTGTTAAGTGCTACACAAGTGTGAACTCGCTTACATTGTATGTGTGACTACTGAGTTAAGAAATACCACAGATGAAAGGGTAGAGCATCTGGGTTCCAGTTCCAGTTTTGTCACTCGCTTGCTTTGTGATCTTAAATAATTACTTACCCTCTCTGGGTCTCCTTTTACGTCTTCAGTAAAATGAAAGGGTGGGAGCTTCCTAAGGGCCTTCTAGTTCTTGCATTCTGTGTACCAGAATTGTGTACAGAGATTCTGGTACAGAATCCATCTTTGAACCTGCTGCTCCCTGGACCTGATATGTCTAGCAGTGCTTGTGGAAAACCTACTCCCTTCTCATCCTCTGGCCAGGTTAAGTTTAACCTCCTATGGGAATATTTCCCTGAGTCACTCAAAAACAAACAAACAGACCGGGCGCGGTGGCTCACGCCTGTAATCCCAGCACTTTGGGAGGCCGAGAGGGGCGGATCACCTGAGGTCAGGAGTTCAAGACCAGCTTGCCAAAATTGTGAAACCCTGTCTATACTAAAAATACAAAAATTAGCTGGCTGTGGTGGCACACGCCTGTAATCCCAGCTACTTGGGAGGCTGAGGTAGGAGAATCACTTGAACCTGGAAGGTGGAGGTTGCAGTGAGCCGAGATCTCGTCACTGCACTCCAGCCTGGAAGACAGATCAAGACTTCATCTCAAAACAAACAAACAGGCTTGGCACAAGTGGCTCACGCCTGTAATCCTAGCACTTTGGGAGGCCCGGGCAGGTGGATCGCCTGAGGTCAGGAGTTCAAGACCAGCCTGGACAACATGGTGAAACCCCATCTCTACTAAAAATATAAAAATTAGCCAGGCATCGTGGCGCATGCCTGTAATCCTAGCTACTCAGGAGGTTGAAGCAGGAGAATCATTTGAACCCGGGAGGCAAATGTTGCAGTGAGCCAAGATCGGGTCACTGCACTCCAGCCTGAGCAAGACTCCTTCTCAAAAACAAACAAACACACTCCATTGGCTTCTTCCTATGCTTCGAGCATTTACCTGGATACCACTCTTCTGAATCTGACTTATCATTCTTAGTTTCCCTCGTTCTCTCCCTGCTTACCAAGCTGGGTACCCCTCGAGGGCCTGGTGGGCCTGGAGTGACAAAGTGCCTGGGCTTTGAAGGCACATCCCAGCCTCAAGAAAGCTCTGTCCCATACTATCTGGGTGATGTTCTAACTCTCAACTGCCTCATCTATAAAATGGAGACAGTAATACCTACAACACAGGGTCGTGAGGATGAAGTGCCCGAATATCCACTTCTGGCAGAGGACACTTAGATGCAGTCACGTGAAAGGGCTGGACGTCACCTTTCTCTTTGGAAATGTCCCCAGGGTGTGGCACAAAGGAAGCACGAAATACAGTATTAGTGGACTGCATGTTCTGGGGTGAGCAGCTTGGAAACCCCCAACTCCCCATCCGCCAGGCCACAAGGAGTTAATGTTCAACAACACCCTTCTGACCCGGTTCCTTTCCAAACCAGGCCTGCAGAAGCCGACGGCTGCTCCCATTGGGCCCATGCCTGCCCCGCCTTCCCGCCCGGGAGGTCTTCTGCGCCCAGCGCTCCTCCAGCTTCTTTTGCTCTCCCCAGAAGAATTTAAAAAGCCAAACAAAACCCTTTTGCTGTGATCTCACCCCAGACAAACGCACGGCTCCCAGACAAACGCACAGCTACAAAAGCAGCCCGCATTTGCATTCTAAACCGTCCCGGCCTGGGATGAAAAGCAGAAAATGAAGTCAAAGCGGCCGGCAGAACAATGAGCCCCTCCCGGCAGCCGCCGCCCCGGCCGCCCCCACCTCACAGGCTGAATCCCAGGCCCGAGACGTGGGGCGTCCGGAGCAGCCCCCGCCGCGGAGGAACGGCCGAGGCGCGCCCACCTCCGGGGCCGTCCGAGCCTCGTCGGGCTCGGTGGACTGGCCCCGCCCGAGCGCGCAAGCTTCCCATCTCTGCTTTCTCTCCTCCAGGGTGAAAGGACGGACGGCCCCGACCCGCAGACCCGGCAGAGCCCCGCGGGGAGGGCACCAGGCCAAAACTAGGAGGAAACCGACCAAGTGGGCTGCGGCGGCCGGGAAAGAAACCACGTGCGCTGATGTCCTCAGAAACGCAGGGAGATGTTCCACCCACGGAAACCATTTGGGTTCTGCTAAAGAAGGGGGTCAGGGGTCAGAAAGGGCTCTTGGAGGGGACGGGAAATATATATGAAATTTAAAATATCTGTATATATTTTTATATATACATATGTATATATGTGTGTATACATGTCTATGTGTGTATACATACATATGTGTATATACATATTTTATATGTGTAGTATATATGAGACCAGGTTAAGTTTAACTTCCTCTGGGAATATGTGTGTGTATATATGCAGATAATATATAACATATAATAACATATATAGCATGTAATATATAATTTCAGCGTATATGTATATATGCTGAAATCTACAAAATAAAAGTCAACACTCCAGCCGCAGCATTCGACAGCCCATAGGGACACAACAATCCGTTGATCCTACCCGCCTTTTCACTGCCCCCCACCCATCCCTATGCCATCGGTTTCTCTGCTTCCTCAGCATAAAGTCCATGCTCCGTCATTTTAATTATTCGGTCTAAACTCCCTTGCCACTCGAACCCATAGGTGTACGCACCTGCCAAACCCCAAGCAGGTTAAATTCAACTCTTGTCCACCCTCACCTGCGTCTGCCGGGCAAGGCACACCACCTTGCTGACTATTCCCAATAAATTCTTGACACTAACCCCAAATGGGTGGTTAATGCTGACTTACATCCCTACTACATTTTCCCAGTGGATTCTCTTCCACTCTTCTAAACAAATACTTTACATTTTCTCTTTTCTCAGCTCCCCCCTCTGCTCCCCCATCCTTCCTCACTGCTGCTAACTTTGTTGCTGTTTTATTGAGGAAATAGACGCAATCAGGCCAGAACTTCTGCAAGCTTTCCCCAGGCACCCACCTGATTTGTAGCGTGGCTTGCCTGGTGGCCATCCTGTTCTGCCCTCCGACCTGTGATTTCGCATGAAAGCTGTCTTGCCCTGCCATAGGCCGAACCTCCACCTGCATTCGACGCCCAAGCCCTTCACAGCTCTGAAAACCCTCCCAGAGCTCTTCTCTTCTGCACCATCACTTTTCCTCTGTCTGGATCATTGGCCTCAGCTCACAGACACTACCATTTCCACCATCTTAAAAACAAAAGCAAACCAAAAACAAGAGTCTCTTTTGGCTCCCTATCTTCCTCCAGCTACTTAACCCATTTCTCAGCTTCCATTTACAGGCCAGCTCTTCAAGAATTGTCTGTGTTAAGGGGCTTCAAACTTGTATGGTTCACCTGCCTGCAGAAGAGAATTTTGAAAAATTGTGTACTCTGGCCGGGCGCGGTGACTCACACCTGTAATCCCAGCACTGTGGGAGGCCAAGAAGGGCGGATCATGAGGTCAGGAGTTCGAGGCTAGCCTGGCCAACATGGTGAAACCCCATCTCTACTAAAAATACAAAAATCATCTGGGCGTGGTGGCAGGCACCTGTAATCCCAGCTACTCGGGAGGCTGAGGCAGGAGAATAGCTTGAACCCGGGAGGCGAAGGTTGCAGTGAGCCGAGATTGCGCCACTGCATTCCTTCCTGGGTGACAGAGCAAGACTCTGCTCTGCAGGGGAAAAAGAAAATAAAAAAGAAATATTGTGTACTCTAACACACATTTGTAAGTTGTATCTAAAACTGCTCAATATAAATTTACATATAAGATCCAGGTGCAGCTAAATAATCAGCCACACACTCTGAATTTTATTATTATTATTATTATTATTATTATTATTATTATTAAGCTTAGTAAAATACCCACAACGTAAAAATTTACCGTCTTAACCATTTTTAAGTGTACAGTTGGGTAGTGTTAAGCTAAGTAATAGTCACACTGTTGTGCAACCAATCTCTGGGATTTTTTATCTTGCAAAATTCAAACCCTAATCCCATTAAATGACAACTTTCCATTCCCTCTTTTCCCCAGCCCTTGGCAGCAACCATTCTACTTTCTGTTTATACGAGTTTGACTGTTCTGGATATCTCATATAAGGAAAATCATATAGTATTTGTCTTTTTGGTGACTGGCTTACTTTACTAAACATAATGTCGTCAAAGTTCATCCATGGAGTGACATGTGTCAAAATGTATATCCTTTTTGTGGCTGAATGATACTCCATTACATGTATACACCAAGTCTGAATTTTATTTCACTCTGAAATGAGGTTTTTGTTTATTCAACAAATATTTACTGAGTACCTACTATGTTTGTGTATATACAGCTCTGGATGGACAATGTGAACCAGAAAGATAAAAAGCTCAAAATCTAGCAAAGATTTAAAAGGAGACTCACTCTCCTGTCCCATCTTTTGATTCATCACTCGAGCCTGTGGGTCAGAATATCAAGTTTGCACCTGAATCCCAAATCCCAGTGTTCCAATTTAGAACCTGAGACTATCTAGTTCCAGACTCCATGAATACAAACACATCTTGAGATCCTTCCCTGTACCAACTCACTCCCTCATAAGGGCTCCCTTATAAGGGCTGCATACGTGTCTGTATCTCTCATGAGATGTAAAGCTCTTTGCAAATAAGAAACAACTGTGACTTTGTTCTATATCATCAGTCTTTAACAAGGTGCTTGGCACCTAGAAATGCTCAATAATTGTTTTTTAATGTTTACTCCTAAAGCTGGTCTTATTTGTTTAAAATTCTTCAAATAATTCAAAATTCAAATTTAAAATAATCCCAAAACTATTTCTTGCTACTATGTGTCAGGCCCTGTTCCAGGAGTCAGAACTAAAACAAAGAACAAAACAAGCTTGATCCATACTCTTATCACACATTCTAGTTGGGGGTTAGAAGAACCAATAATAAGTAAAAATAATAAGAGAAATATCAGAAAGAGAAATGATTAGAATAGGGTGCTAGAGTCATAGGGGCTTGGGTTCATCCTGCTTTATACAGGGAAGATCAGGAAAGTCTTCTCCGCAGAAGTGTTCATTGAGCAGAGATATGAATGACAAGAAGGAATGAAGGAGGGGAAGGTCACAGGGAAGAGCATGCTAGGCAGAAGACACAGAGTGTGCAGAGGCCCTGTGGCAGGAAGATCATATTGAAGCAGGTAAAATTTATCGTTTTCTTAGTTTAGAGGTGTGGCAACCAAGTCTAGGAGACAGATAGTGATTTGTTCACCTCTCACAGAAGGGAATTGAGTATAATCAGAAAGTAGTTATCATAGTTAAGGGGTTAGCAGATATTTAACAAAGCAGTTCAATCCTCTGAGCTATAGAAAAGAAATAGCCTGTCTGAACTTGATCCAAACTAAAGCCACTCTTCTCATTTTACAGCCCCCCACACTGGGCCATCTGTTTCATCCACCTCTCAAGGCTTATCTCCCCCTACCATCTCTGAGTTTTTGACTCCTAAAAGCCTATCTCCAATCCCAGATGTCTATTGTGAGCTGGAAGTTCCAGCTCCAAACTGGAATGCAAGCATTATTCTCTTTTGTACATTGCTCTGTGTCCAAACACAACTCTGAATTTGTATTTGTCTGGCACATAGTAGTTGCTCAGTAAATATATTTGAATGAATACATGAATAATGAACTTCAGACCTATTTATCCAACTCTTTACCAGATTTGTCCACCTTAAGATCCCACAAACACCTCAAGTTCAACATATCCAAAACAGTAATGATCTCTACCACTTTCTCCTCCAAATTACCCTTTCCCTGTTTTCCCTCTGTCTCTGAGATCAGTACAAACTCCACCAAGTCTAGGAGAGAAACAAGACAGAAACATGAGCAATATGTTTGATTTGTTCTTTTTCCACCTGTATCCAATAGTCTTCTCAGTTCTAACTCTTCATATTTCTAGAATCCATATCTGGTTCTCCCTACCTTCTGGGTATGCCTTGGCTAAAAATCTCATCACTTCTCCCCTGAATTATTATGATAGTCATCTAATTGTTCATTTCTTTCTGTCTCTCCTATGTAAACCATTTTTCAACTATTCCGTATAATACCTACCAGGGTGATCACTTTAAAAAATATTTTATTAATTTGTAAAAGCTACACATTAATTCTTATATGGAAAATGCAGAAAATTTTGAAAAAAAAATAGAAATCACCAATAATCTCACTATACAGAAGTAACTACAGGTTTAAAATATTTTTTATACTGCTACTGCTAATAGTTTGGCTGTACATATAGATATTTCTTTTTCTTTCTTTCTCTCTTTTAAACTCAAACTGGGTCATTGTATTGAGCTTTGAAATTTTTGTTGACATTTTATTATGCATGCTTTTCTATACCCTTAAATGTTGTTGAATACATTTGAAATCTTTAAAATATTACATCAATTGACTATGTCATAATTCATTTGATCATTTCCCAATTATTTAACATTTAGATTGTTTACAATTTCATTATTATAAAATGTTTCAATTCTTGTACATAATTTTTTTCTTAATCTCTGATTATTTCCTTATAAATTCCTAGACGTAAAATTATTAGATCAAAGGTTCTTGGTAAGTTTGCCAAGTTGCTTCAAAGTAACTTTTAAAAAATGCAAATCTAAACATGTTATTCTCTTTTTAAAATATCTAAATATAGATTTCAGAAAATAATTCAGACTTCTTAGGTAGATATCCTGCATGATTTGTCCTCTATTTACTCTGACTTCAGCTTCTACCACTTGTGCACATGAGCCCTTTACCTCAACCACATCAAACTGCATAACATGACCTTTGGACGATGTTGTGTTCTTTGTCTAGAACACCATGCTTCATTTCCTTCATCTAGTCAATTTCTACTTGTTGCTTCAAAATTTAACATTAAGCACCATCTATATAAAATATATAATAAAATATCTTCCATTTTAATACTTGCAGTGAGTTAATTTCTATGCTAGAAAGTTCACTTTATTTAATCATCACCACCATTCTGCATAGGTATTATGTCCAATGTCCAACTGAAGAAATGGATGCTCGATTAGTAAGTGGCTTATGTAGTTAAGTGGTAGAGAGGAGATTTAAAATCAAGTTTATCTCACTGTAAGCCCATGCACTTTATCAGTGCAATTTGCTTCCTCTCTGATCTTCCTGTATTTTAGATTCATCTTATCTGGGTTTTTCATAGCATCCTAGGCTTACTTTTGTCTTTCTTTTTGTCCATAGGTCAATCTTGATGGTTAGACTGCAAATTTCTTAAGGGAAGGAACTATGGCTAATTCTCAGTGTAGGACCCAGTGAACATTTATTGAATGAATGATGAATGAATAAACAAACACTGATTGTACTCTTAGAACTCTGACCTTGGTTTTCCTTAATTTCCTTTGCCGTCACTGATGATGACTTCATGAGCTTGTCTTCTTGGAGGATCAGCACTCATTTCCTCTGATGTCTTGATTCATGTTGGGGTCTTCCAACTGAGCAGACATAACATCATGGTCATGAAACTCCTTTGCCAATAAAGGTGGACCCCAGACAGCATCCCATGAATCAAGCTGAAAGAGAGAGTGCCAGCAGTTAAGTTTCTGTTTGCCCACACATGCCAGAGAATGAGAGGAAAAACCCCACAGAAATAGAAGGCAGAGACTTAACGGGTTAGAAAGAGACCCCTGTGTGCAGCAGGAACTGGCCTCAAAGGATTAAAGAGAAAATGAAAAGTGAAAACTGGGCACACAAATTTTAATTGGATTTGAAGAGATCAGGTCTATGGGAACCATTGTCCACCAAGGCTGTCCATTTGTGTCAAAACTCATTCCACCCTGTCCTCCCAACACCCTGAACCCAAGAGCAGTGTGGTGTTCACATAGATACAAATAATTCTGGACCCCCCACCTCCATAGCAGTCACCTTCCATAGCAAGAGTTTCTGAATGAAAGCTGCTTGGACCACATATTCCATGGTTTGGCCACTAAAGTGGCAATTATCCTTTATTTCCCTTCTCCACTTTCACCACAAACATTGCATGCAGCATCTCCACAAATGCCACCTAATAGTTTGTGTCACCCACTCAGGAGAAGGAGAGTGAACATATGCATACACATGTATACTTAGACACACACACACAGACACACAAAGTTGTGTGGATATCCAATCATAATATATTTACAAGTACGTATACATATTTGCACATATAATAACATAACACACACATACACTTCTGCATATAAACGAAAGGGGAGACTCTTTAGTCATCTATTCAATCAAAAAGTATTTAACAAGAACCTACTCTGTGCCAGCTACTATGTTCTAGCCTAAGGAAAAAATGAAGGATAAGACACTGTCATTGACCAGAGATAAAGCCTCACACTTACAGCCATCTGATCAACAAAGTTGACAAAAATAAACAATGGAGAAAGGACTCCTTATTCAATAAATGGTGCTGGGATAGCTGGTTAGCCATATCTAGAAGATTGAAACTGGACCCCTACCTTTCACCATACTCAAGATGCATTAAAGATTTAAATGTAAGAACCCAAACTATAAGAATTGTGGAAGAAAATCTAGGAAGCACCTTCTGGACACTGGCCTTGGGAAAGAATTGATGACTAAGTCTTCAAAAGCAATTGTAACAAAAACAAAAATTGACAAGTGGTACCTAATTAAACTATAGAATTGCTGCACAACAAAAAGAAATGATCAACATAGTAAACAGACAATCCACAGAACAGGAGAAAATATTCACCAATTATGCATCTGAGAAAGGCCTAATATCCAGAATCTATAAGGAACTTAAACAACTCAACAAACAAACAAACAAACAAAAACCCCATTAAAAAATGGACAAAAGACATAAACAGACACTTCTCAAAAGAAGACACACAAGTGACCAACAAACATATGAGAAAATGTTCAACATCACTAATCATCAGAGAAATGTAAGTCAAAACCACAGTGAGATAACCATCTCATACCAGTCAGAATGGCTATTATTAAAAAGTAAAAAAAAAAAAAAAAACAGATGTTGGCAATGCTGTGGAGAAAAGGGAGCACTTTTATACACTGTGGGTAGGAATGTAAATTAGTTCAGCCACTGTGGAAAGCAGTCTGGAGGTTTTTCAAAGAACTTAAAACAGAACTACTATTCAACCCAGCAATCCCAATACTGAGTATATATCCAAAAGAAAACAAATCTTTCTACCAAAAAGACACATGTGTTCACATGTTCATTGCAGCACTATTCACAATAGCAAAGACATGGAATGAACCCAGGTGCCCATCAATGGTGAACTGGATAAAGAAAATGTGATACATATACACCATGGAATAGTATGCAGCCATTAAAAAAATGGAATCATGTTCTTTGCAGCAACGTGTCTGCAGCTGGAGGTCATTACCCTAAGTTACTAATGCAGGAACAGAAAACTAAATACCAGATCTTCTCACTTAAATGTGGGAGCTAAACATTGAGTACTCATGAGCATAAGGATGGCAACAATAGACATTGAGGACAACCAGAGCAGGCAGGGACAGAAGAGGGCAAGATTTGAAAAACAAACTATTGGGTACTCTGCTCATACCTGAGCAATGGGATAATTTGTACCCCAAACCTTAGCATCATGCAATATACCCAGGTAGCAAACCTTCACAGGTACCCCCTGAATTTAAAATAAAAGTTAGGAGGGCAGGCATGATGGCTCATTCCTGTAATCACAGAACTTTGGGAGGCTGAGGTGGGCGGATCACGAGGTCAGGAGTTCAAGACCAGCCTGGCCAACATGGTGAAACCCCCGTCTCTACTAAAAATACAAAAATTAGCTGGGCAAGGTGGCACGTGCCTGTAATCCCAGCTACTCAGGAGGCTGAGGCAGGAGAATTGCTTAAACCCGGGAGGCAGAGGTTGCAGTGAGCCGAGATCGCGCCGCTGCACTCCAACCTGGGCAACGGAGCAAGACTCCAAAACTCCGTCTCAAAATAAATAAATAAGTAAAAGTCGGGGGAAAAAAAAGACTTCGTCATTGCCCTCAAAGAGTTCACAGTCAATAGATGAGATAGATAGATAGATAGATAGATAGATAGATAGATAGATAGTCAATTACAGAGCAAGAAAGAAGTAGAAGGCCGGCAAAGCCATTCAATCTAACCTCAGGGCTCAGTTTTCCTGGTGAAGGTGGAGGTGGATCTGATCCTTGAAGAGGACTAGGAAGAAGTAAATACATATGCCAAAGCAAAGTGGTATGAGTTTGGGAAAACTGCAAGTAGTTCAGAATGGCTGGATTTTAGGGGACAAAAGGAAAGGAGGATGTGTTGAAAGAAATAGTGGTAGAGAGATAGGCAAGTTCTAAATCATGAAGGGAATCTCATGCTGAAATTCCAAATCTTTTTTTTTTGAGACAGTCTTGCCATGTTGTCCAGGATGGAGTACCATGGCACAATCTCCACTCACTGCAACCACCACCTCCGGGGTTCAAGCGATTCTCCTGCCTCAGCCTCCTGAGTAGCTGGGATTACAGGCATGTGCCACATATGGCTAATTTTTGTACTTTTAGTACAAACGGGGTTTCTCCATGTTGGCCAGGCTGGTCTTGAACTCCTAACCTCAGGTGATCCTTCCGCCTCTGCCTCCCAAAGCGTTGGGATCATAGGCATGAGCCACAGCGCCTGGCCTGAAATTCCAAACCTAATAACATGGCAGACTTAGCTAATCCAGAACTACCTTCTCCAGAAAGAAAAAAAAATACATAAAAAAAACAACTTTCTCTTCCCATTAATATATGACCAGATCCAAAGAAGCTTCATAAATCAGAAAGAAAAGAGGAGTATAAAACCAAAGTAAGGCCGAGTGCAGTGATTCATGCCTTGGGGGCTGATCACTTGAGGCTAAGAGTTCCAGACCAGCCTGGCCAACATGGTAAAACCCCCTCTCTGCTAAAAATACAAAAATTAGCCAGGCATGGTGGAACGTGCCTGTAATCCCAGCTACTCAGGAGGCTGAGGCATGAGAATCCATGAACCTGGTAGGTGGAGGTTGCAATGAGCCCAGGTCACACCACTGCACTCCAGCCTGGGCTACAGAGCAAGACTCTTTCTCAAAACAAAAACAGCAACAAAAACCTAAGTAATACCTTCAGGCTGAAGTTGAAGTTAGAGAAGTAGAGGCCAAATCATTCAGTGTTATGTATCTATCTAAGCAGTATGAACTATTTTTTGTAAGTTTTCTGTAAAGAGTTTTGAAAGAGAATGGCGTGATTAGATTTGCCTAGCCCAGGGCCAAAGAAACCCCTGTGTCTCCTTCCTGACAGAAGCAAACACAAAACTGCTTTCTAGAGATCAGGCCATATGAGACTCGCAGAGAAAACACAAGCCCTGCTATAGATAAGCTCACAATAAAAAATTATAAACCATACAAGTGCATCCTATTTAGTGTCGAAAATGAAAATTAAAACCCAAAAAGATTTTTCTTATTCATCCTTATCAGACTGGTAATATTTAAAAGTATAACAATAACTGTGTCATACTTTCAAACAGTTGAGAATGGAAGTCCATTGTCAATCTCAGATGCTGCTGCTAAAAGTATAAATTTGATATAACTGTTTTGAAGAGCACTTTGGCAATATTTATTAAAGTCGAGATGTATATACTTTACCATGCAGTGATTTCATTGCTAAATCCATTGAGACTAAAACTCTCCCTTACTTGGATAAGGAGAAAACTTAAGGTTTCTGTTACTTCATTGTTTGTAACAGTGAAAAACTGGAAACAACCTAAATGTCCATCAATATTATAATGAACAAGTTATGGTTTATTCATATATAATGACACCACAGAGTGGCTAAAATGAACCACACCAGGTCTGTGTGCCATCACATATACAGTGCAAAATACAACATGGAATGATCAGAATATATAGTCAAAATACATACTACTTTAATAATATTTACATGTATATGCATTTAAAACTCACAACTGGTTCTTTATATGGCACGTGGATGCATACATATTTTGGATCAAGTAAGAAAACCTAAATTTAAAAGACACATACCAAAATTCAGGATAATGGTTACCTTGGGGAGGGACTGTGTGGAATGGAGTAAATGGGCTTAAATGTTATCTCCATGTTTTATTTCCTAACAACAACATTTGATCCAGAAAAATAGGGCCCAATGCTAATTTGTTATAGCTGAGTGCTAGGCACAGGGGTCTCATGTTATTCTCTGTATTATAGTATATTTTCAAAATAAAACAAAATTTAAGAATAAGAATAAATTCCATGCTAAGCATTTTATTCCCTAAGCAAGTGAGTGACATAGTTTAGATTTGTGCTTTGGAAAGCTCCCCCAACCTCTGAGTGGAAGAGGTCTTAGCAGACGATAAATGGAGGCAGGAAGACCCCGTAAGAAGGCTGTTTGCAATAGGCTAAGAAAGAGTTAATGAGGTCTGGCACAGGTTAGTGGTCAGGGATGGATTTGAAAGCTATTTAAGCGGTAATATTGCCAATATACTACCAGTCTCCTTTTTCTTTTGGTGTTTAAAAATTTTGTTTGTACAAGTTTCCCTCATTTCTCCTTTTCAATGAACTATGACCTACAAATAGACAAGTGCATAAATCATAAGTATGCAGCTTAACACATTTTCACACAGTGACCACCACCCAGATCAAGTCTTCTCCCAGTCAATGTATAGCCCCAAAGGTAACCACAAATCAGAGTTCTATCACCATAGATTAGTTTTGCCTGTTTTAAACTTTATAAAAATGAGCCCATATAGTATGTATTGTTTTGTGCCTGGTTTCATTCATTCAATATTCTTTTTGTGCAATTCACTCATATTGTTGTATGTCTAAGAGTTTGTTGGTTTTTATTGCTAAATAGTATTTCTTCAAGTGAATATTTAATTCCATTATTTAATTGGTGCTCAGTTGTGAATGGGGACTTGGGTTTCTTCCAGTTTGGGACAGTATTGTCATGAGCACTCATGTACATGTCTTGTTGTGCACACATATTTCCTTCTGTTGGATATGTATTTTAGGAGTGAAATTTCTGGAGAATAGCGTATGTGTATTATTGGCTTTAGTAAATACTGGAAAGGTTTTCCGAAGTGATAGTACAAGTGTACATGCCCAGCAGCAGTGAATGAGAGTTCCAGTTGTTTCACATCCACACCAACACTTGGTACCACTCGCTGTTTTTTGTTTTCTGTTTTTTGACTTTAGACAAGAATATCATAGATATGCAATGATATTTCATTGTAATTTTAATTTGCATTTTCCCATGACTAAAAAGTTGAGCATGCTTTTATATGTTTATCTCCCACTTGTATATCCTGTTATGAAGTTTTAAAAATAGGTTGTCTCTCTTGTTCTTATTATTTACACAGTTTGAGAATCAAAAGAATACCACCAAAGCCTCCCTGATACTAATATTTATCTCTGATAATTCACTCATTTGTTGTTTTCTTTTAGAAGACTTAGAGAGGCTGAGGTGGGTGGATCACCTGAGGTCACGAGTTCGAGACCAGCCTGGCCAACATGGTGAAATCCTGTCTCTATTAAAATACAAAAAATTAGCTGGGCGTGGTGGCACGTGCCTGTAATCTCAGCTACTAGGGAGGCTGAGGCAGGAGAATTGCTTGAACCTGGGAGGTGGAAGTGGCAGTGAGATGAGATTGCACCACTGTACTCCAGCCTGGGTGACAGAGCAAGAATCTGTCTCAAAAAAATAAAAAAGCAGGAGGCCTGGATCAGCAGCACCCCACTCTACTGGTGCCAATTTACTGTATTAGCCCATTTTCATGCTGCTGATAAAGACCTATCTGAGACGGGACAATTTATAAAAGAAAGAGGTTTATGGGACTTACAGTTCCACATGTCTGGGGAGGCCTCACAATCATGGCGAAAGGTGAAAGGAACATCTCACATGGCAGCAGACAAGAGAACAGGGCTTGTACAGGGAAACTCCCCTTTTTAAAACCATCTGATCTCGTGAGACGTATTCACTACCACGAGAACAGTGCAGGAAAGACCCGCCCCTATAATTCAATCACTTCCCACCGGCTTCCTCCCACAACACGTGGGAATTCAAGATGAGATTTGGGTGGGGACACAGCCAAACCATATCAGAGGGGTTTATGCAAAAACAAACAAACAAACTTGACATTTCTTGTCAGAGTCAGATGTTCTAGAAGGGATGCTTACACAGGGTCACAGGGTAGGGAGCAGATCCAGGTCTTTCTTTTCTTTTCTTTTTTTTTTATTTTGAGACAGTATCTTGTTCTGTTGTCCAGGCTGGAGTGCAGTGGTGCGATTTCGGCTCACTGCAAGCTCCGCCTCCTAGGTTCACGCCATTCTCCTACCTCAGCCTCCCCAGTAGCTGGGACTACAGGCGCCCGCCATCATGCCTGGCTAATTTTTTGTATTTTTAGTAGAGACGAGGTTTCACCGTGTTAGCCAGGATGGTCTCGATCTCCTGACCTCGTGATCCGCCCGCCTGGGCCTCCCAAAGTGCTGGGATTACAGGCATGAGCCATTGTGCCCGGCCAGGTCCAGGTCTTTCTGATTCCTTCCATGTCACAGCACTTCATAAAGGCCCCTCCTCCCCATCACACTACTGGGATTATTTACTCATTATTTACTAGACCTACATTCTAGGCTCTCGGCTCCTGAAAGGCCGGGCTCTTTTCATTCATTTTGTTGGGTCAGTGCCCTAACCAGACTTTAGCTCTAGGTGGGTCTCAGGGAAGCCCTCCTCAATAGCAGGTCCTCCTGCTGAGAGCTCTCATAGCTCCTCCTGCATTCTTTCTTCAGAACACTCATCCCATTTCTTAGTTACATATTTGTAATTTGACTGTTTGTATTCGTCTTTAGACTATAAGCTCCTCGAAGCTGGCATCCCATTTTATCTACTGTTTTACTTCTGGTGTTTACCAGTGCCTGGTACACAGGAAGTGATTAATAAATATTAGTCAATGGATAATTGAAGTCATTTAGATCAGAATCCCAGATCTATCCCATATTAGATGTGTGAACTGAAACAAGATTCTTAACAGCTTCAGTTTCTCACTCAGTAAAATGAGACTATTCATAGCTACATTTTTTATTCTGTATTTTTTTATTGATATATCATAGTTGTACAAACATTTGGAGTACATGTGATACTTTGATACATGTGTGTGATATACAATGATCAAATCAGGGTAATGGGGATATCCATCATCTAAAACATTTATCTTTTCTTTATGTTGGGAACATTGCAATTCTTCTCTTCTAGTTATTTTGAAATACACAATAAATTATTGTTAACTACAATTTCTCTAATATACTATCCAATATTAGAACTTACTCCTTCTATCAATTGTATTTTTTTACCTATCAACCAACTTCTCTTCATTTCCCCCCAATCCTATCTACTTTAACAGTGGTTTTTGAAGATTTAAATGAAGCAGACTGCATGAAAGTACCTGCGTCAGGATTTTGCACATAAACAGTTCTTTGGAAATACTTTGGAATCAACGAATGAATGTACGAATTTATTCTAACTGGCAGGAATCTTATGCAGATTTCTAGCTGTTAAAGTTTTTGTTTTTTTCCATCTCTACCTCAGAGGAAATTTAAGTCCTCATTAATTCCTAAGGACAGGGTCAATGTTTTGCAATTCTCTATGTCCCTGCAGCCTGTTTAATTGGATGGTTACCAAGAATCATGTGACTTTTTGACCCGGGTGATGATTAATTGGTTCAAAATTGCCGGGAACTATTCAGTGCCAGGCAGACATGCAGGATTTGCAGAGGATAAGACTTGCTTCTGCCCCTGAGAATCTGACAGTCTTGATACAGATCTTTATGCATGCAATTTTGGTACATTAAGCTAAGAGGTTACCGATGTCTGCACCCAGCATGCTCCGAGCCAAGCCCCGGAGGAGTGTGGCTTGGGGGAAGCACACCTGAACAGAGTCTGCAGGTTTAATGAGCAAAGAGTGGGGGTATTTCTCAAACCTTATTGTGCATGTAGATCACCTGGGGATCCTACCCAAAGGAAGATTCTGATTCTGTAGGTTGGGGTGGGGCAGGGGTTCTCCTAGGTCTATATTTCTACCAAGCTCCCCAGGGATACAAATGTTGTTAGTCCGTGAACCCCATTTAAAGAAGCAAGTCAAGGCTCACAGACTGCCATGAGCAAAGAGGTATAAAAACAGATCTTGTAAATCTCATCTTTAACGAGCAATAACCCAAGGCTCAGAGAGGTTAAGAAACGTGTCCAAAGTCACATCACATAGCCAGGAAGTGTCAGAGCCAAGACTGCAACCTGGGTCTGAGTCCCCAGGTCCTTGTTTCCTTCTCCACATCATGCTGCTCCTCACAATACCACGCAGCTCCATTGTTTCCTTAAGTCCGCATGAAACGGGGCTACTTCTCAAGTTTGGTTTGTCAAGTACTGTTGGAAGATAAAATGGAAAGACTGGGGTACTCGGATCAGGAGGCTTGGGCTCTGGTCTCACCAGTCCCTCCACTCCCTGGGTGCCTTCCCTCTCCTACCCCCACCAACAAGAGTTGTTCTGCCCCTCTGGACACTGGTTCTTCAGATTTGAAGTGAAAATTTGGCCTCTGGCCTTAAGGATCTTACTAGCTACATTTTGGGGCTCAAACGGACATCACCACTTATATAAAAATGCTGTGAAATTGCTGAGCTATTCCAGGGGCTGGAGGGGACTGCATTGTCCAGCAGCAAAGAGCAGGCTGACCTTGGTGGCAAGAAACCAGACATGAGCCACTTGGGTCTATTTCCAGGCCTTGAAGCCAAATGGAGCATCCCTGGCTGGATTTTTCTTTCCTTTTTTTTTTTTAGACAGAGTCTCACTCCACTGCCCAGGCTGGAGTGCAGTGGTGCAATCTCGGCTCAGTGCAACCTCTGCCTCCTGGGTTCAAGTGATTCTCCTGCCTCAGCCTCCAGAGTAGCTGGGATTACAGGAGTGTGCCACCACACCCAGCTAATCTTTTGTATTTTTAGTAGATGAGATTTCACCACGTTGGCCAGGCTGGTCTTGAACTCCTGACCTCAAGTGATCTGCCTGCCTCGGCCTCCCAAAGTGCTGGGATTACAGGCATGAGTGAGCCATCATGCCTGGTCCCTGCTGGATTTTGAAGTTGCTGGGGACTGATGACTTCTTTTTTCCGTCTATTTCTCTCTCTCTCTCCTTTTTTTTTTTTTTTTGAGACAGTGTCACTCTGTCGCCCAGGCTGGAGTGCAGTGGCGGGATCTCGGCTAACTGCAAGCTCCCCCTCCCGGGTTCACGCCATTCTCCTGCCTCAGCCTCCCAAGTAGCTGGGACTATAGGCGCCCACCACCACGCCCGGCTAATTTTTTTGTATTTTTAGTAGAGATGGGGTTTCACCATGTTAGCCAGGATGATCTCAATCTCCTGAACTCGTGGTCCGCCTGCCTCGGCCTCCCAAAGTGCTGGGATTACAGGAGTGAAACATCACGCCTGGCTTCTCTCCCTTTTTAAATAGGAATGTCTATAACTGTTATTCTATGCCTGTTTCACCAGTGAATTTAGGGAGCAGATAACTTGTTTCTTAATTTTCACAGGTTCATAGAGAGCAATGTATTCCAGGGTGGATTAAACATGGAGCCTCCTTTTTACCTAATTTGAATGGGTTAGTTTAGATGATGAGATTTGGGGTGTTTAAGTTGTTAAGATTTAGGATTTTGACTTGATACTGCCATATCCTAGGTCTTTAGGGGATGTGGGGATAGGGTGATCTGTTTTGCATTTGGGATGGATGTGAATCTTTTGAGGGCCAGAGGGTGAACTCTGGTACTCTGAATAATGGTTCCCGAAATATGGCCATGTCTTAGATCCCTGGCATCTGTGAATATATGTTCCATGGCAAAGAGGAATTAAGGCAGCAGATTGAATTAAGTTTGCCAGTGAACTGACTTTAATATAGGTGATTATCCTAGATTATGAGCAGGTCTGTGTAATCAGCAAGGAGGGCCTTTACATGTGAAAGGGGTGGCAGAAGAGGAGAACCAAAGAGATGGCAGGGTGAGGACTCTACCCAATGTTGCTTCCTCCATGTGAACATGAAGAGGGCCACAAGCCAGGGAAAGTGGGTGGCCTCTAAAAACAGAAAAGGCAAGGAAACAGCTTCTTGCCTAGAGCCTCCAAGATTGTAAGACAATACATCTATGCTGTTTTACGTTTGTGGTAATTTGTTATAGCCGCTATAGCAAATTAATATAAGACCTATCCTACAATTTAATGCTCTAGGATCTTAGACTAATCATTTCATCTTTGCATTCTTTAGTATTCTTTCTTTCTCAAAATAACTGCTGTGAAGATCAGACAGAACAAATAGGCAGAAATCCCTGGCACACAGGTGCTCAATAAATGTGAATTTCTAGCTTCCCCTTTTCTTCCAGGTTGGAGAAACACAAGGAAGGGAAGCAGGAGCCACAGGCCATTCTCAGCCTTCCTTTGATGTGGGCTGTGTACAGGATTCCCTCAGTAAGCTCCCCCAGCATACCTTATCTAGAGTGAGGGCTGCTTATCTGCCCTCGGGGTTCCTACAGCTCCTACCTCTCTGATGGAAAAATCCTCTTTAGAATACAAAAGCTCTTTAGAAGAGCCTGAGATGAGGGTAGAGCCAGGGCCTCATTCTGCAAACAGGCTTTCAGAGATGAAAGAGCAGGGCAGACATCGGTATCTACCCTATGACCACCACATTTCCCACTGAAAAAAATCAGGAGTTGGTGCGCTGAGATGAGGCAAGCCCACTCAAAGAGGCCAGCCCGCGATGCTTCCTTCTCCTACCCACACACCTGAGACAAACATCTCTCAAACACTCCAGGCTTGCAAGTCCTTAATTAGTTGTGTTACGAGCTTTTATTTAAAAAGCACATTTAATACAAGTATAGTTTCGCAGATACAAGTTTTCACTTTGTATGCTACAAAAGTCTTTGAATATTATTCTCTTTACAAAATGGAACCTTACAAAAATACTGACAATTTAATGTTTTTATACAGTTTTCTCTAGTTGCAGTTATTTCATTATAAAACAATGTCTACCACAGAACTATGATATTTTAGTTGATATTTAAAAAAATTAACTCAATGCTTTTTTAAGCAGCTAATGTAAATAACACAGGTCGAGACACAGTTTATAATCATAGTGGATATAGCTAAATTGTTTCAGAAATAATATCTTACATAGTTAACTTTTAATGTTTTATACATTATTTATATAATATTTATATATAAAAATCATAGCTTGCTATAAGTTGAAATGAAAGGACGGATTCTGTAGTAAGGATGTGCATGTGGTTGATCCATATGGTTACATTTAACCCTTTGAAAGGTCTGCATCCAAGATCTAAACGCATTTCTTCCTTCCTCCTTTCCTCAAAGGTTCAGTAGAAGGGGTCCCTGTCTATCACCTAGAGTGGGACCTTGCATGGAAGGACACTTACGGATAGAGGATGAGGGAAACTCTCTACCGAGATTTAACCCATATGTTCTGCCCAGCAGAACCTACCAAGAACTGCCCTAGGGCTCAACCCCAAGACAATAGTGCTTTACACAGCAAGAGCAACTCCTACAAAGACCCTCAGCTCTGTCATCCTGAAGGGTAACCTCTCATGCATGAGACTGCCTGCTTCTCTGGCTCCTTCTGATTTGCAACAGCTAAAAGGTTGGTTCGATTTTCATTCTGCCCCCTTCACCCTCCCATCTGTTGTACAGAAGGCTGCTTTCCGTCAGCTGGTGGCAGACCATGCCTTGCTCATTCCTGGGCCCTCACAGGAAATCCTGGTGGGCACGCAGCAAGGATTTCAAGGGAGAAGGCAGTAACCGAAGTCGAACTGTTTCTAAGAGTATGCAAGTGCCCGGTGATTGACGTGCACAACATCAGCATCCTGCAATTGACATTTCAACATCACAGGATGATGCGTCAAAAGAAGAAAAGTGAGGGCCTGTGCCCTCGATTTCTTCTGAAATTGTGCTGTTTGTGAAATTCACTCGTCCACAAAGAGTCTGCTAATCACTAATGTGAGGAACTATGGTTGTTGGCCTATGGGCAGGGGAGGTGATAAGGCCTTAGAACTGGGAATCTAGATTCGGGATCTGATCACTTGACTGAGCAAACTTGCTCTTTCCTTTTATTTAAAACACAAAACAAAACTTCCTGAACTAAAGTCACAGTACAGAATAGAATGGGATGGACAGAAAGACTCAAGAGGGCAGCTCCGCAATGGCTATTTTCTTGATTCAGTGCTATTTCTGGCATCATGTGCTGCAATGTGAATTTTTGCTTTTCTCACAGGCCTGGGATTCCTCAGGTCACAAAAGGTGACCAGCAGCCTCTACTCAAATCGTTTTAGTGTTTGTTCCTGAACAAGCTGTGTTCACTAGAACATGAACACTTAAACCAATTGCACATCCAGGACTCTGGCACTTGGTGTTAGTTTGCTGTTGTTTCCACATAGGCAAACACTACCTATTTTGGAAGGCCACATAGTAAAACATTTTTTTTTTCCTTTTTAAAAATCAGTCGGGCAAAAGTTTTTCCCTACATTCTACTGTCTGATGAGATTGGAGAGCAGCAAGAACTTGCTGTCAGCAGTCATTTTACAAAAACAGCTCAGGAGGTGGGTGGCACCTACATCATGTTGTGGTGATTGTTCCTGTCAATAATGTCCACAGGTGAAAGGATTTCCTTCCGGATAGCAGGGGCAGGCAGGGAGAGCGTCGTCTTAGTCTTGAAGAGGTCAGACACGAAGAAAACCTAGAAGCACAAATCAGAGATCGAAGTCAGTAACTGACATCGGGGGTCTGGGTACAGAGGGAAAAGGAAGGTCAGAGGAGCGCAGACTTCAGGAAAAGGGGCCCCAAATCATAACTCTTTGAATAGGGAAGGACAACAGAGATCATATCATCAAGGTTTATTGTACAGATAGGGAAACTGAGACCCGGGAAAAGGCAGTGACATGTCCCAGGTTGCACAACACTGGTTCAGTAGAATCCACTTCTAAGGACTCTCAGTCCATTGCCCATATCTGCAACCCATACTTCCTTATTTCTCAAGGCAAACGAATAGCAATGAAAGATAAGTTCCTCAACAAAGGAAGCAGGTCATAATTAGTGATAGTCATTAATTCACACTACTTTCCCTTTCCTCACAAAGGAATCCAGGGTGTAACCGAAAAAGATCAGCCAACATGAACTCCTATCAGCAAGAGCTGAAGTCAGGCAGTGGTAACTACTTTTTCCTGAAAACTTAGTGATATCAACCATTTGACGGGGGTCAAGAAACCAGGTTCTCGTTGCTGAGAAAGTTGGCAACTAAACGTGGAGGAACGGTTAATGACAAATCTCGTATCACTCATTCCCAGCGTCCTTTTTCCTCCTGGGGATGTGACCTCACTGAGTCTGAACAATACTTGAGAAACATTTATTGAGTGCCACTTGCAAAGGTGTGAGGATGGCACAGGCATAGTTCCTGCCTCAATGTGCTTATGATGAAAGATTCAAGGGTTTGATGAGCTACTGGAGTAAGAAAAATTTATGCTTTGTATTAGATGGCAAAATAAACACACAGACATCCATTTGAGCCATTTAGCAACAGGAGTTTTTACTAAGTAACCATAAGCGGCAGCTATCAGTCATGTAATTTAATAGGAAACACTTGGCTGGATTTCAAAATAGCGACTAAAACACTATCAAAGTTTCTACACCCAACAGCCTTCTGAATTGATGAGTCTTTGTCCTGCAGATGGTAATGTGCTCACTACTAATGACAGCACTGTGGTTTCACTCTGGCCACATTATAGGCAAGAAAATGAAGTTCTTAATAAGATTTTACCAAAACTAAGGCTCTGGCGATCCAGGGCCTGGCCACAGTAGGGACTTGAATTATTTGTTAAACTCATTTTCACAGTGTCCCTTCTGTAGCAACACGGCAATCAAGAAAGTGCTATAAAAATCACAGCAAGAAATTGGTGATGCTCGTTACCTCAAGAGAAGGGAACTGGGTGGCTAGAAGGCAAAGGTGAAACAGACATTTACTGGTCACTGTAAAACCTGTTGTACCTTTTGAATTTTGTACCCATTGCATATATTACCTACCAAAACATATAATAAGTATTATTTTGTTGTTAAAAAAAAAAAGCTAGGCTATTTCTATGCTACTACAAGAAAATGAAATATTAGCCGAGAAGTGTAACATCTTAATACATTCACAGTTTGAGTGCTATTGATGTACCACTTTGCAAAGGAAAAAGTTAAGTCTTTTCTCCCTTTCTTTTGTCAGGAGGTTTGAACAGTGAAAACCATGGTACCAAAAGATTTGTCTCCTAGTCAGAGTCAAACTTGAGGATCAGGAAAGAAAAGATCTGTGCACAACCTGCCAGTAGGCTCTAGGCTCCCCTGCCAGAAAATTCTTTGTAGTTGGTTTGGGAAACTGTTTTCAAGTGTCCCCAGTATAAGGAAACAGACTCGATTAAAGTTCAATGAGAAGATAATTAAACTTTTCAACTCTTCTCCGCCCCAGGCCCAGCCCCAGCCCCAGCTCCACATTTTCCCTTATCTCCCCCAGTGGCCTTACTTCTTTTTGTACTAAAATGATGTTATCATCTGAGAGGTACAGACAACAATGTCCTCATCTGTAGCTCAAAATTATCCTCCCCTTTATCCTTCACTTTGTCTCAGAGGAAGAGGTTTTGATCAATCCCTCCCCATCACTACTTTCTTTTTTTTTTTTTAAGACGGAGTCTCATTCTGTCACCCAGGCTGGAGTGCAGTGGCACGATCTCAGCTCACTGCAACCCCTGCCACCCAGGTTCAAGGGATTCTCCCGCCTCAGCCTCCTGAGTAGCTGGGATTACAGGCACGTGCCACTATGCCTGGCTAATTTTTATATTTTTAGTAGAGACGGGGTTTCACCATGCTGACCAGGCTGGTCTGGAACTCCTGACCTCATGATCCGCCTGCCTCAGCCTTCCAAAGAACTGGGATTACAGGTGTGAGCCACCGTGCCTGGCCCATCACTACTTTTAACTTCACTTATTCCAGCTTAGCAGCTAGATTCATGAAAATAAGTCGTACAGGCCTAATTTCTTAGAGCTTTCTCCCAGAATCCATCCCATCTGCCAAGGGCAAATATAGCTGGGGACAGCTCCCCCGTCCCCCCCCCCCACCTTCCCCCCTTCAAGATCTTGAAGAATCTACCACCTCAATCTACTGGCTTATCTCCCAACCTAATTTTCTGAGCTCACAGTCACTATATCCTAGGGTTTCCATTTCCTAACTGCAGGATAGGAATCATATGAAGATTAAAGGCAATAATAACTTGAGAAGATCTAAACCTGTGACTGTTACATAGTTCAATAGAAGGCATTCCGTTCTCTAATGATCTGGATACCAAAGTAATTACTGGGCCCAGAGAAAGCCATGCTCTCCCGTGTGTCCAAAACTATGCTTATCGACCTTTCTTCCTAGATGGGAGGCTTCTTGAAGATGGAATCCTATCCCTAATCACCCTGAATCACCCAAAGCACTTAGCTTTGAGCCCTGTACACAATAAGGGCTTAATAAATGTTTGTCGTTGAATTTCAAAAATTCTCTCTACTTACTAGAAAGCAAGCACTCTGGCCTTGGACTTTATTGACAATACAACTCCTACAGACTTGAGGGGGAACCACATACTCAAATACTGCCTGCACGGAGCCAAGCGGTGAGGTGAAAAGTTGAGTCAGGTCCAGCAGAATCCCACTTTAAGCTGTATTTCACTTTCAGCATGACTTGAGGTTACACAAACACTTTTTTTTGGGATCACGAAACGTAATACTGTCAAGACCGAAACAGGGTTCAGTCTTCCTAATATTTGAACAGCAGGACACAAAAAGACCTAGTAAAAGTAAAAGCTTCTTGGCTTGAAGCAGTTCCATTTCCTACAGAAGATGATCTCCACCCAGAAGGAAAACCCAGAGGCCCAGGCTGGGAAGGGTCTATACAAATTAAGTAGCTGTCTTAGGTCTGTGGGATAAACCCACTGCCAGCCCACAATCCTACTCCACAGATCTCTGCTGTGTGAAAGGACACACTGGACAATAAATACAGTTCCAACAAACAAGAAAAACTATACCCTAAGCACAGAGAAGAGATCTAAGTTACGATGCGCAGAACATTTGTTTTCAATTCCGTTTCTCCAATTCTTTGAATTTTATAAATTACTCTTTTTTTGGAAAATGAATGAATGCAATCAATAAATACTTATTGGATTCCTGCTATGTGTTAAACTCCAAAAATATGAAGATGAATATATATAAGACAGTCTTTTACCCTCAAGGAGTTTATAGGCCAATGAGTTAGACAGCCAGGTAAACAGATGACCACAATACAGCATATTAAGGATTATGATGGAGGGAAGCAAGGGTGTTGAGGAAGCACAGAGAATGTGGCATTTAACCCAGACTGAAGGGGAGTGGGAAGCAGGCCTTAGAAGGCTTCTCCTAAAGGTTGTCTATTTGATCTTAGCTTTGAAGGATAAGGAGGAGTTAACCAGGCAGTGAATGCTAGGATGTTATAGGCAAAGGGAATAGTGTGTGCAAAGGTACAGGAGAAAGGGAGTACAGCACATCCAGGAGCTGCAGGAAGCTCAGTATATCTAAGGCGGAGCAGTCAAAGAGGCTGGAGAGGAGAGGACTAGATATTGAAAAGCGTCTTGGGACATGTTAAAAGTTCAGATCTCATTCTTTTGGCCCTAGGAATCATTGTCAAGGTGAAAGCAGGGAAGCAACATGTTGGAAAGACCTGCATTAAGATCATGTTGGAGGTCAGGTGCAGTGGCTCACGCCTAAAATCCCAGCACTTTGGGAGGCTGAGGCAGGTGGATCATCTGAGGTCAGGAGTTAGAGACCAGCCTGGCCAACATGGTGAAACCCCCTCTCTACAAAAGTACAAAAATTAGGTGGGCATGATGGTGGGTGCCTATAATCCCAGCTACTCGGGAGGCTGAGGTGGAAGAATCACTTGGACCTGGGAGGCGGAGGTTTCAGTGAGCCAAGATGGTGCCATTGCACTCCAGCCTGGGCGAGACAGCGAGACTCTGTCTCAGACAAAAAAAAAAAAAAAAAAAAAAAAAAATCATGTTGGTAACTAAAATGGAGACGGAGTCAAAAAGCATGCAGTGAGCCTGGAGGCAGGGATTACAGAGTCTAGGGGAGGATGAGTCCTGAACAACACCTATACAGTAAAGACAAAGAAGAAGAGATGGATTTTGAAATGTTGAGGACAGGACTGCAGCTGATAGAGGTTATATGTTTGGGGTGGGTATGTGTGCGAGGGAGGCAATGTTTTTCTTTCTAGTTCTGTTTTCAACTCTAGAAATCTTTGCACTTATTCCCATAAAAACTCTTAAAATTTTGATAACTATGCTAGGAAAGAAATATATATAACTCTGCTTTCCTATGCCTGTGACATTGTCTTGGGGGAGTGATTGCCCCCCACGCCAGTGGCATGTAGTACTGTATAGTGTTGTACCACCATCACTTTTATCTAATTCCAAGACATTTCATTACCCCAAAATAAAACTCCATAAACTTTAAGCAGTCATGTCCCATTCCCTTCTCTCCCCAGCCCCTGGTAACCATCAATCTACTTTCTGTTTCTATGGATTTATCTGTGGGGAAGTGATTCTGACCTCCTCCTGAGTCAAAAGGAGTAAACTGTTCTGTGATCCCAGGGTGGAATATGATCTAATTTACCCAAGCACTGTGGACAATGTAGCCCCTTCCTTCAAGAGCATGAGTACACACAAACAAGACAACTCTAAGCTGTAAGAACCCCATTCACCGTGATGAAGAGATAAAACAAACAAAAAACTGGAAAAAGATAAAAAGAGAGGGGGGAAAAAAGAGTGGTTGAGACTATGAATGAACATGTGAAATCTGACACATTCTAGCTGGATGTAGAGGCAATATGCTGATGGGAGTTTTCTATAGGACAAACAGAATCTGCTCTCAAAGTTCTTACAATTTCTAGAGCTATCTTTGGCCAAGAGTTGGCACACTCAAAGAGGAAGATGCTTCCGATGTCTTACTGCCAGCATTCACACTCCGGAAATGTCAGCCTTCCAGGGAGCACACACAGTCCAGCCCTGCTGGGGTGCTGCCTGCCTAGAGGTCACCAAGAACCAAGTACACCAGAAATAAGAAGTCTGGTAGGTAGCCAGGTTCCTCCTTTCATTGCTAGGAATGGCTGAATCAGCAAATTTTGAGGGTCATTTTGTTAATTTTGTTAAGGGCAGATTATGACAATAAAATTATCCTTTAAATGTTCCTAGGGTCCCTGAGTGTAAGTGAACTCCTTGAAAATAGGAATCCCATCCTTACGTAACACATTGAGCTAAAATGCTAGCAAAGGGTAGATAACTATAAAAGCAGAAGAATTTTAGAATCTTAGAACCTCAAGAAAATTGAGCATCATCTATTCTGGTATTTCTTAAAGTGTTGTCCTCAAACCATCTGTTTCAGAATCACCTGGGAGCTTCCTGAAATAGCAGATTCCTGGGCCCATCTAAGACCTACTGAGAATCTGGAATCTGCATTTTAGCAAACACTACAGTTATTTGTTATCCAGAGTACAGTTAAAAGAGCCATTAGTGGACAATCTGTGGAGATGAACAGATGGGCTCAAATCCTAGATCTGCCATTGCATGGCTGTGTGTCTTAGACAATCTACACTGGGCACAACATTACCTTTCTTGAACCACCCTTCTCTTCTCTCTTTGGTACCCATATTGAACTTTAATAACCTTCCATCTTAGTGTTAGGCCGTAGGCTTTGATACGTGACGCTTTAAATGCTGTGTCATATTTCCCCTTCTAGACTGAGCTAGCTACTCAAGGGCATGGATCGTGTTGAGTCATCCCTGTTTTCAGAGTTCAAAAACTGTAGCTCTTAATAGAGCTCCACCATGTGAGCGTAAAGACCATGGCTGTTGCTCCTTTTGCATGCATTCCCATGTGATTTGGCCCTGGGATTTCCTTTTAGCTTTCTGGTCTACCATACTGAACAATCTCATGGATTAAGGAAGGAATAACCCTCTTTGGAGGAGAAAGCCTTGGGACCTGGCTCACCCTCATGCCCTAAGTACAGTAAGTGCTATCTAAAGAAAAGCCATCTTTGGCAGCCGTTTTTTTTTTAACTAGATGGGATTATCCAACTGCAATCATTATTTTTTGACCTCAATAAAGGGCTTTCAGCGGCTTTTGGCACTGGGAATTTGTGAGCATTTCTGTTGAGTGACTTCCTAGTATAACTGAGAGGGAAAATGATGAGGTGGAAAAGAGTGTGACACTGGAAATCAGACAGCAGAATATAGTCCCAAAATTTCTACTGGTGTGTGATCCAAGCTGTTACACTTGTCTTGAATTTATACAAGATTAAAAGGTTTTATAGTTGCAGATGATGGGTCTGCCCTGTATTTGTGTGGAAATGTTATTTTTAAAATCCACCGGCTGGCCGCGGTGGCTCACAGCTGTAATCCCAGCACTTTGGGAGGCCGAGGTGGGCGGATCACTTCAGGTGGGGAGTTCGAGACCAGCCTGACCAACATGGAGAAACCCTGTCTCTACTAAAAATACAAAAATTAGCTGGGCATGATTGCACACGCCTGTAATCCCAGCTACTTGGGAGACTGAGGCAGGAGAATCACTTGAACCTGGGAGATGGAGGTTGTGGTGAGCTGTGATTGCACTCCAGCCTGCAACAAGAGTGAAACTCCATCTCCAAAAAAAACCAAAAAAAATCCACCTACCTGTGGTTCCTGTAAGGCTTACATGGAATATATGTGAAAACACTTTGTAGCTATGAAGAACTACTCATTCATTCATTCAGTTATTTATTTTGAGACAGAGTCTTGCTCTGTCGCTCAGGCTGGAGTGCAGTGCACGATCTCCACTCACTGCAGCCTCCACCTCCCCAGTCCAAGTATTCTTGTGCCTCAGCCTCCGAGTAGCTGGGATTACAGGTGTGCACCACTGCACCTGGCCAATTTTTGTATTTTTTTAGTAGAGACGGGATGTTGGCTGGCCTGGTCTTGAACTTCTGAAGTCAAGTGATCCACCCACCTTGGCCTCCTAAAGCGCTGGGATTACAGGTGTAAGCCACTACGCACCCAGCCTTATGAAGGACTATTCACATCATCACTGCTATTGAGGAATGTGAAGAAAAGTAGTCCCACAAAATGAACAAAGAGGGTTTAGAGGAGGAAAGAAAGTTGAGAGCAATTTTGCGGAGCATGCTGCTGTGTGCCTGTGGTCCCAGCTAGTCAGGAAGTTGAAGTGGGAGGACGGCTTGAGCCCAAGAGTTTAAGGCCAGCCTGGGCAACATAGGAAGACCCGCCCCCGCCCTTTAAAGAAAGTTGTGGGCAATACTGATGGAGAACAGGAATCTATGCCAAGGAACCTTCCAGGAAAATATTCATAGGCTATTAGGGAGGGTGTCTGGTAAGGAGTACCCAGGGGACTGACAGCTCTGTCTATGGGGTGCTAAATGCAGTAGGAGCTGGAGCTTAGGAACATAGTACCCAAAGATGACCAAGGCTCAACAAAGGCAGGGGACCCCATTCCCAGAAACCATCCAATTTTGAAGCTGAAAGGGAGAATGAGGCTACTATTCATTGAGGTCACCTCTCCCCATTATCCCCCAAGTTTTGTTGTTCTGCATTTCTAGGGTCACAAAACATATCATGTTCTCACCCATCGCCATGTCTTCATGGTATTCCTTCTGCGTGGAATTCCCTTCCTTATCTTTTGTATCTTACAGCAAATGACCATTCATTTTTAAATAATTACCTACTCTAAAAATTCTTTCTAGTCTTCCAACACCCTCAAGAAGAATTAATCACCCCTTCTCTTGTAACCCCACTGTCCTCAGTAGTGTATCCCATCCCAGCAGCCGTGCCCTTCTATCATACTTGTCTGTTTACATGTCTATTCCTACTAGATCATTCTCAAGCCATTAGCAAGCTACAAAATCAACTAACTAGGTGGTTACCACCAGCATTTTTGAAGGTTAATAGAAAATATCAGAATTTCTCACACAGTAAGGGCAAGTCTTATTTTGTGAAATATTTGTTTTAGTTACGTGTGGGTGCCTCTATTGGGTTATGATATAAAGTGTATTTCTTATTATAGATGGCGGTCAAGTCTTGGAAAGCTACTGCACTAGATAAGCTCTTTAAGGACCAACTCCTTTTAGCTCTGAATCTTTAAACAAAGCATAGTACTTAACGCACAATTCACAATCAATATGTTGCATGTGCCAAGCATGATGTATCTTTAATTCTCTGAATCCTCAATCCAAAAATCATGTTAGGCATTATCATCCCAACCTCATGGGATTGGAAAAGGTGGCTGAGAGGTGAAGTGACTTGCCCTGACAGCCTACCTAGCAAGTGGCAGGAATATAACTTCCTCTCTGAACCTCTGCTTCGTCAGCTCATCCATCTTAGCAGGGGAACAAGAAAGGAAGTTTTATAAGTACAGTTGATCCTTGAATAACATGAGCTTGAACTGCATGGGTCCACTTAAACACAAATTTTCTTCTGCTTCTGCCAACCCTGAGACAGCAAGACCAACCCCTCCTCTTCTTCCTCCTCGTGAGCCTACTCAACATGGAAACAACCAGCATGAAGACTTTTATGGTGATCACTTCCACCTAATGTATAGTAAATATATTTCCTCTTCCTTATAATTTTCTTGATAATATTTTCTTTTCTCTAGCTTACTTTATTGTAAGAATACTGTATATAATACATAAAACATACAAAACATATGTTAATTGACTGTTTATGTTATCAGTAAGGCTTCCAATCAACATTAGGCTGTTAGTAGTTTTAAGTTTTGAGGGAGTCAAAAGTTCTATTTGGACTTTTTATTGTGCTGGAGGTCGGAACCTCTAGTCCCCATGTTGTTCAAGGTCAACTGTATTTTGAACAGTTGTAGAGTACTACAAAGATAGTGTCGTTATCTATTGGCGGCCAAAGTTTATTTCTTTGCTTCCTTCTCTCTCCCACATCCATGTTTCTGCCTGCCTAAGAGTGGGGGCCAGCAGTGGCAAGATCAGATTACCTCAAGGTCACATTACTGGGCAAAGAGCTAGACTTCTGCAGGGCCAGAAGAGGTTTGGGAGCTCATTTCATCCATTCCCCTGTGCCCAGGCAGCCCTGGAGTAAATCAGAAGGGAATAGATGGGACTCTCTCCTGTTAGAGAAGGAAGAGGCCTTGCAAATCCATGGCTAAGCATGCTTGGAATTTACTGTTTAGCCCTTTAGATGGAATCAAGAAACTGGGGATTTGGTTCCTACTCTGCTACTATGTGTCCTTGGGCGTGTCCTGGCCTCTCCCTGCACTGCAGTTTCCTTTTGCAGGGGTTGTCATCGCTGAACTCTTCTTCACACTGGCATTCTTGCTGGTGTCTTTTCCCAAGGTCACCTCACTGGGGCAGAGACAAAGAACGCCCTCGCCCTTCCCTACATCTGGAGGAAGATAGCAGCACACAAAAGAGCAACGGCAAGCGGAGCCACACCCCCGGGAAGAGGAAAACCAGGAAAGACTCTGCTGTGTATTTACGAAATCCATGAGCAGCTGCTTCCTCTGCTGAACCCACAGCAATGGCAGCCGGGCCCTCCCCTGACCCCTCCCAGGGGCCCCTAATTTGCCATCTGTTAGAGGGTCAGGGAGGAGGTGACCAGATATGCAAGTTGTCACCAGACAGGAAATGAACCGATGTCTGTTCCTTCGTCCTAGTCCCTGTGTGAGTCCAACTGTAAAGTTCACATCTTTGGTAGGGGTAACTTAGTGAGTGTGTAGGCGGGAGGGGGCTGGGAGAGCCAATATGAGCCTGTGTTTTTTTTTTATTCGTCTGTCTGTTTATGTGTGTCTGTGGTTCTGAGTACGATTGGGTCTGCCCATGCACCTCATGGTCTATCTGGGCTGTGGCCTTCTCCTTTGTCCTGTGTACCTCTGTCCAGATCTCTGAAGGTGTGCAGGCAGGCCTATCCGACCCTAAGTGCTTGTGTCTTTGTGTTGAGTTCATGACACTGTATAGGTTTTCTGTCTGTGCTGGCTTCCATTGTCTTCCTTTTCTGGAAAGCATTCAATTAGTAAGCAATGGAGGAGGAAACCAGACTTCCATTTGACATGTGATTTTTGTCTAGACAAGTCTGCCTGTTGTGACAGGATCTACCCTCAACAGACCCAGGTAAAAGTTCTCGGCTGTCATGCCTGTTGCCTAAGGCTCTGCAGTTATGGAACCAGCATTCTAGGGTTAATGCACTGTACCTCAGTCAGTTACTACAAAGTCAGCTGTGCCATAGAATGTCTGTGCACAAAGGTCATGGAGCTACAAGGCCTCCAGCTTCAATTCACAGGTGAGGAAACTAGGCCCAGAAGGGAAGTGTCTGGCCTGAAGCCACAAGCTAATTCATCATTCACCATTTACCCAATGCTGATGAAGCACCTATTGTGTCAGCTGCTGTACTACATACCGAGAATAAATAATCAGAAGGTTAAGCCATGGATTCTGCTATTAAGGCACCCACAATCTAGCTGAAGAGACAGACATATGAGCAGGCCATGAGTAGATGAGGCCTAAAGCCATGGTAGGAAGAAAGTGCAAAAGGCCATGGGGGACTGGAAGGAAGTGAGACAATACTGTCTCCAGGGACTGGGGAAGTTGTGGAAAGCTGAACAATGTCCCCCAAAGATGCCCGCATCCTAAGTCCCAGAAGCAATGAATGATGCTACATGATAAAATGAGATTAAGTTAAGATCTTGAGATGGAGAGATCATCCTGGGTTATCAAGGTGGTCCCAGCATCTGTAAAAGAGGGAGGCAAAAGGACAAAAGTCACAGAAGAAGGTGTGACAATGGATGCAAAGGCCAGAGAAAGTATATGTGTGTGTGAGAGAGAGAGGGAGAAGTGAAGATTCTATGCTGCTAGCTTTGAAAGTGGAGAATGGGGCCATGAGTCAAGGAACTCAGGTAGCTCCAGAAAGCTAGAAAAAGCAAGAAAACAGATCTCCCCTTAGATCCTCTAGATGGAATGTGTTCCACCTTGATTTTAGCTCAGTGAGACCCTTTTCCAACTCCCAACTTCCAGAACTGTAAGAAAAGAAACTTGCATTCTTTTAAGCCACTAAATTTGTGGTAATTTGTTACAGCAGCCAGAGGCAGCTAATACAGAAGGTTTCATCAGAGATGAGGTGACACTGGAACTGTGTTCCATCAAAGGGGACAGGTATCTAATACAGAAACTCAGGTGTTGGAAAATATTGAAATGTTTGACATGCCGGGAGGTGAAGGGGTGGAGAGATGAGAGGAGACCTGCCAAAGCCTGGGTCTTGGAGTGCCAGCTCTGTGTCAGGCTGTCTGGGGTCAACTCCAGCTTTGCTACCTTCTCTCTGAGTGCTTGGGCTCTCAGCAAATGTCAGCGAAGATTACAACTCAATTAACAGGGAGTCCGTAAAGGCTTGGCTCAGGAGGTTATCTGGCAGACTGGAAAATGGATTCTGTGTTTCTTGGCACCTCAAGTGGTGGCCTTTGTGCCATACATGCTGCTTTTTTATCAATCCTCTTAACCTCAGGTGATGTCTCTGTGTTTCAAAAACCATTCAATACAGCCATAGTTGTGAGTAAGAAGAGAACTTTGCTCCTTCCTGGCATTCCCTGGGACAGCGGCCCTGATTCGTGGGGAAGAGTTCTGTCATGTGGCACAAGCAGAGCAGAGGTCACAGACTCCTGCTTGGCACGTGACAGCTACATTGCACAACCCTGATAAAGCTGCAAAACCCATGAGGCAGATGCCTGTCATCCTACTCATAGTTCCCTCTCCCAGGCACCTGGTGCCTTCATCACATGGTCTCTGGTTCCCCACACCTCCTCACAGATCTACCCATCTCTCCTCAATCCAGGGTCCTGAGCTTTGCTTCTGTCTCCCTCACAATCAAACCCAGGACAACAGAATCCTGGGAGCTTACGGCTGGAAAAGACACTACCTTCTTTCCTCCCAGCTGAACATTTCCAAACTTTTATTCTCAGTAGCCACAGCTTCCAGGCACTTCCCTGTCCTGGCCTCTCAGATGGCTTCAATGAAATGAATCTCTCAGTGCTGCGATTCCAAGCCATTCTGGACCATGAGGTCCCACTGAGCACAAGGCTGGGTGTCAGGCATTTGGAGAAAAATGATAGGTAAGATTGAGTCCCTGTTCTTGCATGTTCACAGGTGAGTGAGTAAAAGGCAGGGAAAGAGATTTATCACCCCTTTCCAAACCATCTTTACATTGTAAATCAGGCTTTCAAACTCAAAGCAATAACTGGATCCACCCAAAGGGTTAGGAAGGACTCCGTGACACAATTAAATGATACTCTTTAAGCAGCTAACTATGGAGCTTCTGTTTCGGGTTAACTGCAGGGCCTTCAGCTTCAGGGACCCCTTCTCCTTGCAGAGTGCAGAGGGCATAGCTTTGAGTCCATGAGAATCGTGGTGCAGCTGTCTATTAGCTCTCTGACCCTGGATGACTTAAGTTACCTCTCTGAGCTAGTTACTTCTGTAAAATGGCTGTAGTACAATGGCTTAATGTGACTAAAAGAAGACAGTGGGCAGCTGGGCACAGTGGCTCACACCTGTAAACCCAGCACTTTTGGAGGCTGAGGCGGGCGGATCACCTGAGGTCAGGAGTTCAAGACCAGCCTGGCCAACACAGTGAAACCCCATCTCTACAGAAATACAAAAATTAGCCAGGCATGACGGTGGGTGCCTGTAATCCCAGCTACTTGGGAGGCTGAGGGGGAAGAATCTTCAACCTGAGAGGCAGAGGTTGCAGTGAGCCGAGATCGTGCCATTGCACTCTAGCCTGGGTGAGAGAGCGAGACTCTCAAAAAAAAAAAAAAAAAAAAAGGAAGACAATGGGTAAAGTATCAGAATGGTACCAGCAGAGAGTAGGTGCTTTGTAAACGCTAGGATCAAATTCCTATACTGTGCTACAGTCAGCGAGAGCCAAACAGGACACAAGTCAGAACCTTCATTTCACTTCTTGGAAATAAGCCATAGTCCTCCCGAACGCTCTGTCTAATTGCTTATGGCCCATGTTTTAGGATATAAAAGAGAGGAAGGCTAGTAAGGATCCCCCAACCTTTTAATTTTTTTAACTGGGGGTGCAGGGGACTCCAATTAGGGCAGTGGCGCCAAGAAGGAACCACAACAGCAGGCCCCCGCGGGCTGTCCTCCTGCTGAGAGCAAAGCTCAGAAGGGCACAGTCAGCAAAGGGTTACCCTTCAGTGCAAACACCCATCCCCCACTGTCACCTCACATTAAAGGGCCAGGCACCAGAGAACAAGCCGGTCAGTGACAGCTGCTCTCATTAACGGTTTGCTCCCCCAGGTTCTCTCCCTTCTGGCCTTTACTTTTAAAAAGAAAAAAGAAAAAGAAAGCAAGGGAGAAAGCCATTAAAACAGCCAGTCCAGTAGGCTGGGATTCCCATGTCAAAGGCTGCAGGCAGTTCACACACTGCTTTCTTCGTGGTGCCCACTCTGATTGCTGCAACTCCTTCTCCCTCTTCTTGACCCCTGCACATGGAGTCAGGTGCTTCCCTGCCTGCTGAAGCCCCCTACACATGTCACTATGACAGCCCCCACAGCATTAAGCTCCTGTGCTTGGCCTGGCTGTGAGAGGAGCAAGGATGGAATTTCCTTGGGAGGGCTGAGCCTTATTCATTCCTATACCTTCAAGAAATAACTTCCTACAGTGTTCTCAAGAAAGGTTAGATCAACTCATTGATTCTGGCTTTTTGCTTGTTAGGCACACATTTGCTTAGTCTGAGCTAGAATCCCTGAGAGGCCTTGATAAGATAGGGAGAGTAACATATATATTACACATGGTCCCTGCCCCCAAGAACTTACAGCCTAAAAGAAGACACCCATCGACAATTTCAATCCAGAGTGTTAAGTGCTGTTACAGAGGAGCTGGGGAGAGGCTGCATAGTGAGACATAAGCCTGCAACCAGGCTCAGAAACCAGGAAAGGATAAGAAGCTGGTTTAGATCTCTCTATTGTTCATAATTCTTACTGTGAATGAGCAAGGATAATACTAACAACAATACAACCTACATGTGTGGTGCTTAAATATCCAGCCATTATTGTACTCTGGGATTCCTGCTGGGCTGGGGTGAGCTCCCCTCAGTAGGGCCCAGGAAGTCACAATATCAAAGTAGGTGCTCAGTCATGTTCGCTGAATAAGCCCCTCAAAACTCTTAGCAGGCAGGAAAAGCAGTGCCTACAGATGGAGGCTCAGAGAAGTGCAATGCCTTCTCCCACCTTCACCTGGAGTCAGAGATGAAGTATGTGAAAAGGTAACCCATTCATTTGGGGCAAATCAGTATGTGGTCCATCCCAAGTTATCCCTAGGAAGTCTGTGACTCGATGTACGAGGGCCTCAGGCTGAGAGAGGGCTCAGCCTTCAGATAACCTCCTCTTCTCCAATGAACACTGAGTTTAGGGTCTGTGTGAGTCACTCCCAAGGTCACAGAGGGAAGAGGAGGCATTTTCCAAGAAGCGGAGAAGTCCCATTGCGTACTGTGTCCACCAAAACAGCATGTGAGCACTCGAGTCAGGAGACTTAGATCTTGCTACTAGGTCAACAGACTTAGCATGACACTAAGCATGACCTGCTGACACATGACCTTGGGTAAGTTTCTTCCCTAAATTTCCTCATCTATAACATGAGCAAGTTGGACAATATCTCAGCTCTCTTCCAATTGCAACATTCTACGAGCCCAAAACCTCTGTATTTACAGAGATTTACAGACCCTATCAGATCAAAACTCACAGGCTGGGAAGAAGCAGGAATTATTCTCATTTTACTGAAGGAGTCCTAAGGCCTAAGGCCTAAGGCCAGGTGACTCTTCAGACACCAAGCAGAGGACAGGAACGAGGGCTCTCTAGCTTTAGTCACTGAGCTGGAAACATTTAACAAGCAACAGTCCAGGGCTCCACTTGCATATTGAGGACAAGATGCTACTTACTATGCAGCAGGCCACCAGGGCTCCTTGAGCAAATCCTGCCAGAACATCACTGGGATGGTGCTTGTGGTCTGATACGCGAGACAGTCCCGTGTAGAAGGCCATCATGATCAAGGTGAACTGCAGGAGGGGCCGGAGCAGGCGGGCTCCTCGCCAAGTGAAGCGGGCCTGCAGGTATAGCTGGAGAAAGGAGACAAAAAGGAACAGACATTAAGTGACTCCCCACTCACATGCACTATAACCCCAGGTGACACACACTACATTTCTACGAACAGGGATCATCTGGACCTTGGGTGGCATGTTGTAGATACAGCAATTTGAACATGACCTCAAGCCAGTTATTTAAATGCTGAGCCTGGCTAGGCACGGTGGCTCACGTCTGTAATCCCAGCACTTCGTGTGGCTGAGGTGGGCAGATCACCTGAGGTCAGGTGTTTGAGACCAGTCTGGCCAACATAGTGAAACCTCATCTGTAATAAAAATACAAAAATTATCTGGGTGTGATGGCATGTGCCTATAGTCCCAGCTACTCAGGAGGCTGAGGCAGGAAAATCACTTGAACCCAGGAGGCGGAGGTCGCAGTGAGCCGAGATCGCACCACTGCAGTTCGGTCTGGGCAACAGAGTGAGACTCTGCCTCAAAAAAATAAATAAGTAAGTAAGTAAGTAAATAAATAAATAAATGCTGAGTCTTAGTTCTCACACTAAAAAATAGGAAAAATAGAGTTTATCTAGGGAGATAAACCAGGGAAAGCTGAGCAATATAATATATGTAAATGGCCTTAGCACACTGCCACATAGTAGGAACGTAATAAATGATAGTTTCCTTTTATCTTCCTCTTGACTGAAACTAATAATTAAAGAGCAGTAACCAGGGCTTGTAAAGGTTTCTTTTTTTACAATTGATGACAACTTACTTAACACATTTGTGTATTTCCCTGGGGATTACGGCTATATAATCCCTACACTACCTGGTGTCAGCACGGAAATTAAATATGCAATGATAAGAGGAAGTTATTATATCCCCAATGAGATGCTTCTGCTTCAGAAGAAAGCAACTCTATCAAGGACACATTTCTAAGTCACCACTTGGAACTATGGATATTGAATGAGAATATAAGGAAACAATAAACCAACGAGACAATGCCAGGGAATTTTCAAATAGAAGTTGACAGACACTAGACAGGGTGGAGTAGAAGAGTAACCTGAAGAAAAATGGAAGATTAAAAAAAAAACCACCTCTAGCTGAAGCAAAGTAGTTGAAATGACGTCAACTGGGCATTGTCCCCTCAGAGTTATCTTGCTGCAGTTTCCGTTCTAACCTCTGGGCACAACCTATTCCCAGGTTCCTGTGGGAACTTGGGAAATGAGGGGGAAGAGGCAAGTGGACAAGAGGAACTTCCGACTACAAATCAAAGCACTTGGAGAGGCAGGAGAAGGGAAGAGAGCGGAGGGGAGGTGGCTGATGGCCTAAAGATAGACCTGTGGCAGTGCTGAAGACATGAGTTTGTCCTTCCTGGGACAGATGGACACCTTCCTTCGGTGGCAAGAAAAGAGCAAGCCAGTGGCCAGTCTTGATGAGACAGAAGAGTGGAAGATCCCAGAATCATTCTTAGCCATAAGTGTCTAGGACTGAATCCTCAACTACGTGGAACACTATTTCAAATAAGCAGACATGGAAGACAGCAGACTACTTTATAATCATTTTGAAATTATAAAAATGTATTATTGGAAAAACTTAAGAGGAAAAAATAAGAATACTGACAAAAAAGATCACACTGAGGCCGTTGCCTGCTAAACAAGGGATAAAAACAATGGTTTTCTCATATATAAATAATAACCAGTTAAAAATGTAAAAGAAGATAGCATAGAGCCTTTATGGAATAAAGGAGGTAAAGGACAATTTGAAGAGACAGAGAGGGAGAATTTTACTTAGAACACTAAACTTTTAAATTCAGAAGTTGATATGTAAATACTATTAGATTGCCATGGACATCCGAAAAAGATGTGGGGAAAAAATTATTCTAAAGATAATCTAAAAGACCAAATCTGTGGTACTAGGCAAAATAAATAAATAAATAAATACGTTAAATTAAATTTAAAAAAAAAGAAAAAAGCTAGGCACTATGAAAAGTGCTAAAGACAAAGAAAAATGAGGATTTATAAATCCTGACATATAGAGCAGACAGTTGAGGGATACAAGAAAATAAATAAGTATACTAATGTGTTTTATAGGAGCTATGAAAGAAGTTAGAGGCTGGGGTCAATTACTATTTGGAAGGGATACTTGACCAGAATCCTAAAGGTGAATGAGTATTTGCTGGGTTTAAGGGGGCAGGAGTGGGGGATATATATTCCAGGCAGAGGGGTGGCTCAGAGGCCTTCCACAGAAGTTCCCCAAAACTTCAAATAGTTCAGTATAGCTGGAGAAGAGGGTGTTGGGGAAGGTGGGTGAGCAGTGGTGAGAAATAGGGCTGCAGAGACAAGGAGGGCCTAGTTCACGAAGGGCTTTCAGTGTCAAACTAAGCAACCCAGACCTTATTTTGGAGGCCAGTCTTTCCCAAACCATATTCCACTGAATATTAAGGGTTTCTTCAAAAAAGATAGGTGAATGTTCTATACTAAATCCTTATTTTTGTCAATTATCATGCTTATAAGATTACTAAAGCCTCTGAGAAGTCCTGAAGGAAAGAATACTTATTTGACCTTTAATCACTATTTTCAGAGAACATCTACCTATTTGAATCACAATTGGAAAATATTACTGTAAGCAATGGTGAAAAATTAAATGATTTCATGCAAAGCACTGAGTACCACACTCTCAGTGCTTTTCAAGAGCTCTAGGCAAGACTGGGTCACTATAGGCAATACCAAAGTCAGTGAATTGGAGCTATATAGGCCAAAGACTACTCCCTTAATGACCTACCAGTGGATGAAAATATGCCTCCTTTTGGAAATGGGGATGAAGACGGTGTTAGTCTAGCTCCAACTCAACACAAGTCTTCAGGACAATGGCAAATTCAAGAACAAGGAATCATCCACTTGCAGTGTACTCAGTATGTTTGGCCTTCCCTCAGCTATTCTTGGCAGTGGACAAGGGTGGGGTGCATAACAGACAGAGCACAGATTTTAATCAGGAAAACCTCCCTGAGCCTCCATTTTCTCACATATAAAATAAGTGTAGCAACCACTCTCTTAGAGGCTGTGGTCCAGGTTGGTTGATAATGTAGATCAAGAGGATAGCATGAAATACTACTCAACAAATAGGTGATTTTATTCTTTAATCACATTTCTTAATTTGGAGTGGCAAGATTTTCTAAATTCCCTTGCTGAAAAATCTGTAGGTCCTCGGAAAATGCTTGTTACGAGTCCTTCAACCATTCCCCCTGCCCCTGCATGCAGGCTTAGATCACAAGCCTTGGAAATCAAGGGTGGGGCAGAGGAAGGGCGTGTTTCCCAACCGGACAAAGCCCACATCTCCCCTTCCCCTGATTCAGATACTTAAGGTTGGAGCTTAATACAAGAAAAAAATAAATACACCATAAGAATTTGAGAAGAGAGGAAGAGACCAGTCATCAGAATAGCTCCAGAAAGGAAGGGAGTGCTTATGAATGAGAAAGGAGTAGGGAGCCAAGGGAAAAGAACGCCTTTGGGAAGCAGTCAGTCAGACATCACAGTAAGCAGATGAGAGCTTGTTCCCTGATATCCATCAGTTAACTAACACATTTATGGAGGAATGCCTCAAGGTCAGCACTGATCCTGGTGTCTGCAGCAGGGGATTTTGGGGAAAGCAGTGCAATAGTAAAGTGCATTTTGGGGTACAATAGCCCTGATTCCAGTCCTGGCTCTGTCACTTACTAAGTGGGTGGTCAGTTTACTTCTATAAGCCTCAGTCTCCTTCTCTGTAAAATAGGTAGAACAGTACTATCTCCTTCTCTGGGTTGCCAGGATCAAAGGAGATGACATGGAAAGGAACCTGTCCGGCACAGGACGGGCACTCAGGATACTTTTCAGAAATCCAGGTTACCTTTCTGCCCTGGTGAATGACATTTACTCAATGACTGTGGCAATTTCACCAAAACAAGTAAGTTTTGGTGAAACTTAAAGAAGAGTCGAGAATGAGATTGCACAATGACTTTCCATCCAGTGGCTACATCTGATATGAGAAAAAAGCCAGTAGCAACAGGCTTTGGGATTGATGAAAGGATACGATGACCTTCTCCATCCCACTCCAATTTCACTGCTGTCAAATGGATTGGATTTTGCCAGTGTAGAACCCAGTTCACACAAGCCACTCCAGGCCACAGGTTTGGGCCTCACTAGGATCAGTGAGTACATTCTGGAGCCTGGGGACAAGTAACTCTGGAGGCTCCATTTATTCCCACTCCACAGAAGACAGGTACAACTTATTCAAGAAAGGAAGTCAAACCCTGCTGATAGATGATGTCATCCCCCTATTCTAGACCAAAACACACTTTCCCAGATCAGAATACCCAGAGGGGCTTTAGTAAAGTCCTAGGTGCCCTGAAAGGGTAAGTAGAGCTGGACAAAACCTGAAAGTCTAATCATCTTGACCTCTTCTAGTCTACTGCTGACATTCTGGCTTATCTGCATTCACTTCCTCATCTGCATGAAGGCCTCTGGGCTAGAGAATCAGCCCTCTGAAACTACTTCCCAAGCCCCACAATGACACCGCAGAAAGTGATTTGCAGCCACAGCAACTAGATTGGAACCTTTTCTCTGCTACGTACAGCTTGTATATAATCTTAAAGGCCTTTTCTTGTATTAAGATTTCGCTTTCCGTTGCTAAAAAAAAAAAAAAAAATTGCTGATTGTGGATATGAGAAAAAGAAAGATGTATGTCTGTTTCCCATACCCCAAAATGATGTATGTAAGGCCCTGGCATGTAGAACTCACTCTGTCAGTGCAGTTCTCTTCTCCTTCTTTGTCCTACCTTCAGAACTAGGGTCTTGTGGAATTCCAACAAAACCTCCTTAGAAAGGTCCGACTGAACTTGAGGCTGTTCCTCTGGTCTGAACCAGCAGAGTCAGATGAGTGTGTGAGTCACATTCGTTCTTGCTAAGTCATTTGTGTTTCATTACATGATTTGCATACTGGTGGAACAGGTCTGTACTGTCCTCTCACTTCATTTCCATTGCTCTTGGGACAGCTCCGCTAAGAGTGAAAAGAAGGCTTTTGTCCTTCCTTAGGTCCCTGCCTACCCTCTTCCTGGAAGCCAGTCCAGACCACTGACACCCAGTGAGAAACTTTCTCCCTTCTCTAATTTCCTCTATGGCTTTCACTGGGCTCTGGTTCATGTGCCTGGTGGGTAGCTTGCAAACATATTGTAGAATCTCTCTGGAATGTTCTTTAACTACTTTCAGGACAAAAGAATTTTCGATTGACTTTTCCTTTAGAAGAAAATCCTATCTTATCTTCTGTCACTATCAGAGGGAGGAAAGAAAACCACCATTTTGCTGAGCATTGGTGTAGCCCCTGGGCCAGTAGTGCTTTAAATTACATTACCTGCAATTGTCACAATAATCCTGTTAGGTGGATACCACTGTGCCCATTCTACAGATGAAGAAATCAAGGCTAAAAGAAGCCACAGTACTTGCTCAAGGTAACCAAGAGATATGATGTACATTGAGTATATTTGCCTCTTTCTGAGTCTGTGCTCTAAGCACAGAACCGCCTGGCTTCCTTAGGGAATTACTGCTTCACATAAAGTCTTAGTCTTTTTATACTGGACCTCTGTCTTTGGAGAAAAGAGGCAGTTTGAGGGCAAAACACCAAAGGACAACCTCCAGGGGACATTTAGAACTTCAGACTCCTCTAATTCACCTGCACACACTTCCATCAACCTCCACATTTGAAACACAAGCGTACAGCTTTTGTAAGAGTTACAGTGGAATAATCTCTGACCTGATCTGAAGCTGAAGGGAGCCTAAGAGCTGACTCATTATACCTCATAGCAGAGGTGAGGGCCACTTCCATCCCCTGAGTCCACCCCTAAGCAGAGAATGCATCCAGCTGTTTGGCCACTATTTACTTCTCTGGCTTTCCACACAAAATTATGAGCTCTTTTGGTGTCCCCAGGCACTCACACAGGGTCTGTCACAGAAGAGGTACTCAGAAATAGATGGATGTGTGGTGGGGTGAGTGAATGATATAGGGAGAAAAAAGAGGAAAAACATCTGGTACAGATTCCCCTTGGAAACAACAATCTTGCTCCCCAAAGGAGTTTCTACAGCTGCTCCCAGGATCTGTGGGTACACCTCGTGGGCATACCAGACCCTAGGCTCCAGGGCGCCATACATGCTGAACAAAACCTCAATGGCTAACAAGCACAGCCCAGAGAAAGGGCTGTCAGAGCACAGCCACTTCCATTTCCTTGGCACCCAACAAACCCTCTGACACACAAACAGTTCTCCTGGGACAGCACAGTAAAGGGTCAATAGGGAGAGAGCTCAGCAAAGAGGGAGCAAAGACTTTCCCTACATTACACAGGCCCTTAGCAATCTATCAAGTCCGTGATGAGGAGACAAAAAAAGTTCTGATCAGAATGGAAAGGCGGATGGCCCGAGTGTCAGAAGACCTGAAATTCATTCATTCATTCATCTATCAAATATTTATTGCACACTTACTAGGTATCAGGCATTATTTTGGGAAGTAGGATATAGTAGTGAATGAAGAGACCAAAAAATCTCTCCCCCGGGGAATTTACAGCCTTTTTTAATCATTTATATATATATATATATATAGACAGGGTCTCACTATGTTGCCCAGGCTGATCCTGAACTCCTGGGCTCAAGCAATTCTCCTGCCTTGGCCTCCCAAAGTGCTGAGATTACAGGCATGAACAACTGCACCCAGCCAGAATTTATAATTTAGTTGGAAGAAACAAAAAAGCAAGTAAGTATGTAGTATGTCAGATGGTGAGACGTAAGGCTGCAAAGGGGCATAGGGAGAACAGTGTCAGAGGAGGGGGTTGTCATTCTAAACAGGGTAGTCAGGAAAGGCTTCTAAAGAAGGTGGGTGGGGGCAAGGTGCAGATTTCGGGGTGGGGTGCGGGGAGAACAGCAGCTAAGGAAAGGCCTTGACACAAAGTGGCTGCCTAATGCACCTGCAAAATGAGGAGCTGGGACTGATCCCAAAGGTATTTTCCACTCTCAAGCGTGCCCTCCATTCCCTGGTTCCTAGCAGCCATCCAAGCTGTACTGAACTGAATACCTGCAGTTCTCCAAATCACCTCCTCCTTTTCACCTTCACACATGTAGTTCTTCCAGTCTCCTCTATCTTCATGTGACTAACTACCTCTACTGCCACTCTCTGCTCCAGGTGAGCCTAGGGGTCATAATTCTGAGAGTCCGTAATATAACCTACATATCCCCTTGCCCCTGAGGGACAATGTATCAGACTATTATCATTGTGTACTGTTTCTCTAGACTAAATTATGCAAGGGCTGTAACCATCTCCCCATTCCCACTCCTAGCTGGTGCTTGGTGCATCATAGTCCCTCACTAAGCATATACCAAATGCTCAATGTTGGATGCACAGGTGAGTTCCTTAAGGGCAGGGCTCAGCACAACACAGCAGACATTCAGCTGCATGAATTGGTGTCTGCCCTGGTGTTGACATTTTATCCAGATAGCATGTCATCCTCAGTCTCCGACCATGGAGGTGCAGGGTCAATACAGACGTGGTCCTCTGGGGTTCAGGCCAGGGCTCAGAGGTATAAAGCATACTTTGTGCTTATATATGCTGTGGGTTTGTTTTTTTTTTTTTAATTAGAACTTGCATTAATCTCTAACAAGCCTTAACCTCACCCTTAAGCTTCTGTGTGCAGGATAATTTGGTGTTTGGGGCATGGTTTTTCCAAGCTCATCATTTGGCAAAATTTATTCATTGACCTAACATGAAGTGCCCTTAAAGTTATGGAGCCTCTAGAAGTGGCTGCTGTGAAAAGCCTGGAGTGGAGCTGGCTGGTGCTTCCGGTCTGCCATTCTCTGAACTCGATGGTAATGTAGGCCTAAGTTTGTCTTGATGGCTCCCCATCTTCCTTTTTAGCACTTAGGGCAGTTCAAACTTTTTTCAAATAGAGCCATTGTGATTGAGAGATAAATAGACAGGCCATCTCATCCCACTCTTTCATCTGACAGATGGGGAAAGTGGGGTCCAGAGAGGAAAAGTGGCAACAACTCTGCAAAATAGACATGATCACTTCCACTTTCCAGATGAGTATGCTGAGGCTCTAAAGCTATGTAACCCACTCATGGCTTCAGAGCTGGTCATGGATACAGCCAGATTTGATTCCACATCTGCTTGATTCTAAAGACAAAACTGTCAGTGCTAAACCTGGCTGACCCAAATGTGATTCTCCCCAACACCCCAGGGAAGCTATGAATCACAGGCTGCATGAACAAAAAAACAGCACTGGGTACACCGGGGAGTCCAGTCTCTTTGCCCAACTCCAGAACTTCCTGCAGCTCAACATAAAAGCCCTGGGGGAGGGTCTAAGGGCTTCTCGGACTGACTGCAGAGTTTCCCACCTCCTCTGGTGGGCCGAAATTGTGTCCTTTCAATTTTCTTTAGAAAGTTTTGCAAATCAGCCAAACCTAGTGGCTCATGCCTGTAATCCCAACACTTTGGGAGGCTGAGGTGGGTGGTGGCTCATGCCTGTAATCCCAACACTTTGGGAGGCTGAGGTGGGTGGATCACCTGAGGTCAGGAGTTCAAGACCAGCCTGGCCAACATGGTGAAACCCTGTCTCTATTAAAAATACAAAAATTTGCTGGGTGTGGTGCCACACACCTGTAATCCCAGCTACTTGGGAGTCTAAGGCAGGAGAATTGCTTGAATCTGGGAGGCAGAGGTTGCAGTGAGCCGAGATTGCACCACTGCACTCCAGCCTGTGCAACAGAGCGAGACTCCATCTCAAAAAAAAAAAAAAAAAAAAAAAAAGAAACTTTTGCAAATCGGCCTAGCACGGAGGCTCACATCTGTAGTCCCAGCACTTTGGGAGGCCAAGGTGGTTGGATTGCTTGAGCCCAGGAGTTCAAAACCAGCCTGGCCAACATGGCAAAGCCTCGTCTCTACAAAAAAATACAAAAATTAGCTGGGTGTGGTGGCATGTGCCTGTGGTCCCAGCTACTCAGGTGGCTGAGGTGGAAGGATCACCTGAGTCCAAGAGGCAGAGGTTGCAGTGAGCCAAGATGGTGCCACTGTGCTCCATCCTGAGTGACAGAATGAGACTCTGTCTCAAAAAAAAAAAAAAAAAAAAAAGAAGAAGAAGAACAAAGAAAGTTTTGCAGATCAGATGTTACAAGAGCTGGGATTTCTCTGTAATATCACATAAACACATGCCCTGGCAGAGAGTGCTGTCCTCACTTTTTGACCCTTATCTTCACAGGTTGTTTTAGGGCAAGATAACCTTAGAGCTAAAAATAGAGCTGTGTATATATATGTTGTATATGTGAGTTGTGAGTGTTGAATGTGTGTTTGTGCAAGAGTTCTGAAGAGCGTATGTGCACAGTGGGGTGGGAGGTGGGGGATATAATAACATGCTGAGGAGAGGATGGATTAAGGAGGCTCTCCTTCTTTTATTTTTTTAAAGAGACAGGGTCTCCCTGTGCTGTCCAGACTTGTCTCAAACTGCTGGCCTCAAGGGATCCTCTTATCTTGGCCTCTTAAGTGCCGAGATTACAGGTATAAGCCACCATCCAGCCAAAGGAGGCTCTCCTCCCTCCCTCTCTCTTCCTTTCCTCTCTCCCTTTTCTCTTCCTTCCCTCTTTCTCTTCCTTCCTTCCAGCAATATGGAAGCACTACAACTTTTTCCTCCCTCTGAGGGATGCAAATAAACCTTCAATCAAAATATACCTCTCACCCATCATCCCCACAGAGATCTCTAGATGGTAAGGAGGTAATTGGAGTTGGGGACCGGAGGGAGGGGACATCTCAACCATCAAAGCAAAAGGAGACAGGTCTCCTTCAGGCAAAATTTAAGTTAGGGTTAAGAGGTAATATTCCTTAAGTTCAACCTGAAGAGGTCTGGTTTTTGTTTGTTTTGAGTTTTGTAGCACAGTACAATGAAAAGAACATAAAACAATGCTGGAGTCTGGCCTGCAAATACCTTTTCTGCCTCTGACTGATGGTAGAACTTTTGTTACTGAACTTCTTAGATTCAAATTGGATAGGATAATCAAAATGCACCTCATCAGGTCACTGAGAAGCAAATGTCACAGAGTAAGTAGATATGGTGCCTGGCACACAGAAGGCATCCAAAGTGTGTCAGCATCTTCACCTGCTGCGCAGCTGTGAAGGCTACAGTGCACAGTGCTGGCTTCAAAACAATCCAGTATTTTTCATTTGGAATAAAATGAAGGGATATGAAAAAAATGAACACATACCCAGTTCCTCTAAGCACTTTTATAAAACATCGAAATTACATTTTTAAAATTGTTTCCAGCCCTGGGTAAAATACACAAAGGGAGCAGGAACCTAAATATCTTTGCTAAATTTTCCTTTCTAAGAGCAAAACAAAAAAAAAGATGAAGAATGGAGGGAAGTGCTATTCATGAACACATAAAATCCATGTTTAATGTTGTCATAAGTTGGGGCTCATCTTTCAGCTCTGCATCCTCGGTAATGGGAAGCCAATGTTGGCTTAGTTTAGAGGCCTCTAAACTTAGAAAGGATTGGGGGGAAAAATAAATAAATAAAACAAACTTTCTGCTGTTTTTCCCAATTCCTAATTGTGCTTTTTCAATAAGTTGAAATCAAAATGTTCTTTTTTCAAACAGCTTGTGCTCCTCTGAGCTATGTCTGACCTCTTAGCACCTTCTCGCTCTGAATTCTATCAAAGCGGCTGAAAGCAGGAAGTGCCTTGGCACACACGGACCTCATTCAAGGGGAAAGGCAAGGCAGGGAAACCCACATGTAACTGACAAAGAAAAACAGACCAGCCCTCTGTCTGTCCAGCAGCTGGAGGCAAGCAGGGCACTTCACCTGCATTACCCAACCGTCTCCAGGAAATCAGAGCAGACACGGCCATGAGAAGAGCATGGGAATCAAATCATGGTTCTACTACTGGTTGAAGGAACTCAAACATGCTGCTTATCCTCTCTGGGCCTTGGTCTGTGGATTTGAGAAATGGGGCATGGATTTTATACTTCACAGTGTTGTTATGAAGTCATGCGTCCTCATGGAGCAGAAGTATTTTGCAAAACTCAAAATTATTCTAAATACTTAGGTAATGATGATCCTTAAAGCCCTTCCATCCGTAGAATATAGAGGACTGACATGGTGAACGTTGCAAAAAAATTTATCAGAAGGCTTGGGCTTGAGCAACAGTCCTGCTGTTACGTACATTTTGGCAGTTCACTTTAATTTTCTGAGACTTACTTAGCAATCTTTTCCCACCATAGATTTTCAGAAAACAGTGTTTGTACCCTAAAATGTTATATTTAGGGTGGTGCAAGAGTAAGTGGTTTTTGCCATTTAAGTAATGTAGTCCAGGGGTTTTTGTAACGGCAAAAACCTCAATTACTCTTGCACCAAC